>NW_025791787.1:0-170358 GCF_000001405.40 Homo sapiens | reverse complement strand
AAGCCAACCACGCCCATCTACAGGCTATTTTCAAGCAGCCTGGTAGAACTTACACATTTACCACCAAGGTTGCTGACCAAACTATTTGGTTTTCATTTTGAAATTCCATCAATGTTGCATATAAAACTAATCTTGCTGTGCTACTCACAGGCACTGTTTATGGGTTATAAAAATGGAAAACTATTAACTAATACATCTTTCACAGCATAATAATAGTGAGACTGATAGAAAGGACTCATCAGTGACAGGCTGAGTGAATACCCCGCAGCCAGCTCAGTGATCTGTGGGTGTCCTGAAATCCAGTTCTCTGCTTTGTGGAGAAGGCAGAACTGGCTCAAGAAAACACATTTGCACAACCGTGGTTGATGTCTCAGTCAGCTCAGGCGGCCAAAGCAAAGCACCACAGGGTGCCTTAAACAACAGAAACGCGTTATCTCACAGCGCTGGAGGCTGGAAGTCTGAGACAGGGTGGCAGCAGGGTTGGCTCCTCTGAGGCCTCTCTCCTTGGCTTGAAGGCAGCTTCTCCCTGCGTCCCCACATGGTCATCCCTCTGTGTGTGTCTGTGACCTTATCTCCTCTCCTTATAGGACGCTAGTCCTGCTGGATTAGGGTCACCCATAAAACCTGTCTTTTTTTTTTTTTTTTTTTTTTTGAGACAGAGTCTCACTCTGTTGCCTAGGCTGGAGTGCAGTGGCACAATGTCTGCTCACTGCAACCTCCACCTCCCAGGTTCAAACAATTCTCCTGCCTCAGCCTCCCAAGTAGCTGGGATTACAGGTGTGTGCCACCACACCTGGCTAATTTTTTGTATTTTTAGTAGAGACAGGATTTCGCCATGTTGGCCAGGCTGGTCTCGTATTCCTGACCTTAGGTGATCCGCCCACCTCGGCCTCCCAAACTACTGGGATTATAGGCATGAGCCACTGCACCCAGCCACAACCTCATAACCTCATTTTAACTTAATCACCTCCATAAAGACCCCATCTCCATTCTGAGGCACTGGTGCCTAGGGCTTCAATTTATTTTGGGGAGATACAGTTCATCGTATAGTAGATGGCATCTGTCAATCTGGAGAAGCTGGCGCTAAAAGATGTCAAAGAGTGGCAGTTTACAGAGTAATATATTTGAGCCTCAAAGAACAGAGCACCACTGACTCCTGGGGCCCCGGCGCTGCGGGAGGAGAGGCTCTGCGGCCTTTCCCATCTGCAGCTTCTCTGATGGCTCCAGAGACAGTGCAGAGAGCCAGCGACTCTCAGAGAGCAAGGCTGGGGCCGCATGGCCTCAAGCCGTGTGTGTGGCCCCTCGGCCTCAGTCTCAGCCTATAGACTATAGATTGAGGGAGGCAGCACCTTTTTGTAGATGCAGAGAGGAGATAAAAGTGTTTGTTTCTCTTCCTCTTCCATGAGTCCACCTTTAACTTGTTTCCTTATTTACTTTTTTATTATTATTTTCAAAGAACTAACCTCCTACCAAAAGGTTTTGAATGAAAACTGATGTAACAGAAGTTTTTTAAATTTAAATTTGCCCTGTGGTTCTCTCCAGTCTTGTGGGTTTGTATTGTTACGTTGTTTTCAAACCTTGTTCCAAATAAGCGTTTGGCCTGGATCGGTTGCTCTTGCAGGACAGCACCTTCTGGGGGAACTGGAAGGGGCAGGAGCAGGCAGCAGGAGGGGAGGTGCTGTACATTTAGGGTTGTGCCTCTTCACGACAGTTTCCCACTCCCCGAAGCCAGCACCCTCATCCACTAGGGCCCCAGACATCACTGACCCCCACCTCATTTGGTGCTGGAGTGGCTTCCCAGATTCTCAGCCAGCCTGCGGACACCCTGGCTTGCCTTTGTCAGTAATGCTGTTCTGTGTCAGGAAACCGTACTGTGATTCCCTTCCCACGCTGTACTGTGGATCATGTGAAATGTTCCCAACCCAGGCTCATAAATCAGCCGGGAGCACAAACACACAACAGTGCCCTGGCTTCGTCTTCACCTCCAGGGGCATTGCTGTGAAGAGGCCTCTACTGGGAAAGCTCCGATGCACGGCACCCACAGCCGTGAGAATCCCCCGATGTCCACTGAGGGGGCAGGAGCGGGGCATTCCCGGCCGCCACACAGTGACCTCCTCAGAAGGGCCACCAAGCCTGGACAGAGGTGAGTAAGAGGCAGGATGACTATCCTAGCTTCCAAGCGCTTGCATTTCAAAATTGATTCAAAGATACCATGCCCAGCCAGGCGCGGTGGCTCATGCCTGTAATCCCAGCACTTTGGGAGGCGGAGGGGGGCTGATCACGAGGTCAGGAGTTTGAAACCAGCCTGGCCAACATAGTGAAACCCCGTCTCTACTAAAAATAAAAAAAATTAGCTGGGCATGGTGGTGGGCACCTGTAATTCCAGCTACGTGGGAGGCTGAGGCAGGAGAATCGCTTGAACCCAGGTGGCGAAGGTTGCAGTGAGCCGAGATCGCGCCACTGCACTCCAGCCTGGGCTACAGTGCGAGAATGTGTCTCAAAAAAAAAAAAAAAAAAAGATACCATGCCCAGCCTCCCAGCACTGTAACCAAGTCCGTCCCCATCAACAAGGCACCCCAGCCCTGGCCTCAGTTTCCCCAACTGTAAAATGGAGATTCTAAGCACGTCTACCTTCCCTCTCTTTCTCCTTGATTTATGGTGAAAGTAAAATAAAAATATACATCTTATTTTATTACTGATACCTTCAGTGGCTCTCTGAGAGATGAAAAATTATTTGTCATGCACTCACGCAGGCAGACACCACAGCCAGCAGGCACTGGGCATCCCCATTTGTTTACTCGCCACACTGACCACCTTCTCTCACCCCCACCCCAGGGAGAACTTGTCTCCAAGTTGGGCAGTGATCAGCAACACATCGTTTCTGGTTGGACCCAGGAGGTAAGCAGCATTTTGTTTAACAGGAAGACAAGACCTGTCTCTACAAGGGAATGTGCATTATGAAATCCTCAGAGCAAAGCCGCTTGCTCACCTGTCACAGACACACCAAGACAGGGTTTCTGCTCAAAGTCCAAAGATTACACGCCATATGCAGTCGTGAAGAGCAGGAGAGCTGTGTTCAACTCCACCACTCAGAGGACAGGGCTGACAGGAGGCTTGTCCCTGCCATCTGTCGAAATGTCCTGACACCCTTATGTCTCTCACTACCAACGCCAACGGCAAAGGAAACTCTCAAGACAACATGGAAAGAACCTACCTCTCTTTGCAAACTGGCCTCTCGATTCTGCTGAAAGAGAGAAAGCCATGGTGTTTCACCCTCACCAAGCCTCTTTGGAGGCTGAGAGAAAGAGAAAAGGCCTGCTTTAGGGAAAGGCCACGTGTCAAGACCACATCACTGCATTAATGCAGGTAACTGAGGGGAACTGGCCCTCATGAAACAATGCCCTGTGAAGCAACATTGGTGCCAAGTGATGTCTTTCTGCTGGTCTTTTATAGCAAACCAACCTCTCCCACTTAGGCTGCAGTTTGGACTTGGCTCACTAAGGACCGATCCTCTTCCCAACTCCATATCTTTTGTCTAATGAAAGATGACCTTTTTTAAAGTGAATCTTCCCATACTTTATCACACCCGCCCACAACTTAAGATTCTAGGTTTATGTGTTAAAAGAAAAATAGCACTACACGGATTGGCATGTTCCCAACTTGTCTCCAGATGGCACATACAGAGTCTGGGCCCACTTGCCGGATGAGGGAAGGGGTGGGAAAGGTGAATGAACCTGCAATCCTGTGTGTGGGAGCCATATCCAGGAGGTGGCTCTGTTTTTTACCCCCCTGGAGTAGATCCAGATCATTTCATGATGTCTAGAATTTGTTTTAAAATATTTCAGAAGAAAGGGAAGGCATAAAGCAAGTATGGCAAAATCGTGATAACTTCTGAGTCCTGAGTGGGAGTGTGTCGGTTTGGGTTCCCCGAAGCCAGCTCTGACACAGGAATTGGGAGGTGACCCAGAAACACGAGGGAGACAGGAAGTGAGTCAGGGGAGGAAAGAAAGCAAAATGTAGGGGTTTAAGGAGTGGACATCTGAACACTCTAAGAGACTGCAGGACCTCCAAGAGCCATTCCTCGAGGGCAAAGAGGCAGGGGTCTTTGTTAGCCAATTCTGCCCCTCTGGCCAGCTGATGGCAGCCCCTGGGGTGTCTGGCCAGCCTTGCGCTCAGGCTGTTTCACAGCAGGGCAGGACCATCAGCACCCAAGGGAACTGTGCTGGGACCTGCCAAGACCAAGGGCGTGGGCTGGGCACAGTGGCCTCTGCTACAGCAGGAATACCTGCATTCATTGTGTCATCCTTTCTACTTCTGTATATAACTGAAACTTCTCCACACGGATGGGGAACTGAAGCAGGAGCTACAGGAACAACACACATTTCCCCCAGGGAATGAATTAGCAATGGTAGGAGGCAGGGGTTGAATTCAAACCAGCTTGCTGCGCTGAGTCAAGTCCCAAGCTGCTTTTTTCAGATTGTTGCTGCCCTTCCCACATCAGCTGAGGTTTTCTCGCTTATCATATATTCTCTTTTAAACAGAAACAAATGTTTCAGAAGCTTCCCCATCATCCCAGCAGCTGGATTGATCGGAACCCATGCCACCTCCCAATCCAGTAAAGACACACGTGGCGAGCGTCCACTAAGTGCCTCTGTTGGTGGCTGTGGAATGATGTGGGTTTCACGGTGTTGCCCTGAGACAGCAATATTCTAGTTGAGAAAACAAGAAATGCTCCAAGGAAGCCTTAAAGGGACAACAAAATGATCATAGAATTGTTAGAGATCATTTACTTCAACTCATGTTATTTGTGAGAAAACACAGCAAAGATTCTCTCCTGGACCAAACTCTACCCAGGCTCTGCTGAACTCTTTTCCAACTAGGCCTGACTTTTGGACTCTCATGCTTTTCTCTGCATTGTCTGATTTTAGCAAGAATCTTGCTAAATTGGTATTGTCAGAAACCCCACCCTTGATATCTGATCACTCTCAGTATCTGGGTTCCCCATCCCCCGCTACTCCCCCGGTGGTGTCTGGTCACCCTGGCCTGCATTCAGCAAAAGGCCTGTTAGCCAGAATCCCCCACACCTGAGATTTCCTCTTAGTAATTTTCCATCCACTGATTACTCCCCTCCCCACCTCGCCCCTTGGCTGTAGACTCCCACTTTCCCTTGTATTTGGAGTTGGGCCCAATCTCTCTTCCCACTGCAAGACCCCATTGCAGTGGACCTTACACTATTGTGCTGGTTAAAGCCTATCTGTGCTTTAGCAAGTAAGTGAATAATTTTTTTTCTTTGACAACACAGACCCAATTATTTGCCAAGAGTGAAGCTGGGTTGTGGTAGGGCCTGCTCTAGGGCCTGCATTCCATAGGCTTTCTCCAAGCCTGGGTGCAGGCATGAGTAGTGATACAGGGAAAGATGCAAGTTAGCTACAGGTGAGAATAAACCAGGTGCTTTAGGCCACTCTTGAATGTTTTCTTTTGTCTTGGTATAGCAGAATTCTGGAATGGAGGGCATGGGGTGACCTATAAGCCATGGTGAGAAGACCAAACCAGGTGGGGTGACAATTCCAGGCCAAGGGCAGGGCCCCACTGACCTCCCCACCCCACATCAACCCCTATTCCACCTCCTCTTCCCTGATCTTACAGCACAGCTGCCCTGCCATGGGTCCTTTTGGGGTGCCGGTAGTAAACACCCTAGCTGACTTAAAGGGTCCAAAGTATTCATGAGGGACTCCCTGGGAAGCATACGATCCTGTTCTTACAATTTCCCCCGCCTCGTGAGCTCCTCAGGGTCATTCACTCATTCATTCATTCATTCACTCAATCAATCAATCACTTACTCCCTCACTTCCCCCAGTCACTGCAGTGTAGCCAAGACTGAGTCAGAAGGACCCCAGTGAGTCCTGCCTTGCTCTGCCCAGCCACCAAAGACCAAGGCCCCACACAAACCAGGGCTGCCTGGCATGCTTGCTAGCCCCTGCTGCCAGGTTTCCTGGGAAGAAGACGGCTCCACAGCAACCAGGGAGGCCCCGTTCTTGCACTGAGACTGTGCCTGCCCGGTGGAATCAGTTGCCTGAGATACATTTTTAACAATCAAATTATGTTCTGACTGGAGAAAGACTTGGAATTTGAATGAATTCTCTAGGGAGCTGTTATCTACCAAAAACTGTTTAAAATATAAAAGCACCCTTCATTTTCGTATCCTTTGTAAAAGTCCAACTTTGCGAAATATGCTTTGCTTAGAGCAGGGCGCACCACCCAACAGCTCCCATCCATTTTCCTCTGTAGGTGAATTATTTCGAGTCCTTAGAGAAGCAAATCATTTTTACTCCAAGAGCTTGACTTGCATAGATTCTGACTGAAGTCTTGCTTTGAGTAATGCTCACCAGCAAACCTCTTTGTCTTTCCTGAATGCCTGTCACATTTATCTAAGTTAAAATCCTTACTTAATCATAGTTGTCAGTGATGGCAGAATGGCAGAGGCATTAAAGGTTAGACATTAAATTACTCATAAACATCTGATAGCCACCACACAATCCCACTCCCCTGCACCCCACACTTTAAATGGGGTTGCTACTTACCAAGATGGAACCTTAAAATACAGATGGAGGGAAATGCTTACAATAAGGGCAAGAGAAACATGTTCAGTGTTTTTTATGTAAAGATTACATACTAATTCAGAAAAATCTATTCCCCTAATTGTAAAATTGTTCCCAATCATTAGTTCACCTCAAGATATCCCTACATAACCCATTGCTGATGTGTGAAAAAAAAAACCAGACACTCAAAAATCCCAGAACAAAGGGTGTCATTAGTCCCATGGTCCTCATTGACCCCATGATTCTCACTGTCCCCATGGTCCTCACAATCTCCATGGTCCTCACAGTCCCCATGATCATGACCATCCCTATTGTCCTCACTGCCCCCATGTTCCTCACAATCCCCAAGTTCCTCACAATCCCCATGGTCCTCACTGTCCCCATGATCCTCACTGTCCCCATGGTCCTCAATGTCCCCATGATCCTCACTGTCCCCATGGTCCCCAATGTCCCCATGATCCTCACTGTCCCCATGGTCCCCAATGTCCCAATGATCCTCACTGTCCCCATGGTCCTCAATGTCCCCATGATCTTCACTGTCCCCATGGTCCCCAATGTCCCAATGATCCTCACTGTCCCCATGGTCCCCAATGTCCCAATGATCCTCACTGTCCCCATGGTCCTCACAATCCCCATGTTCCTCACAGTCCCCATGATCCTCACTGTCCCCATGGTCCTGTCACCATGGTCCTCACAATCCCCATGTTCCTCACTGTCCCCATGTTCCTCACTGTTCCCATGGTCCTCACAGTCCACATGGTCCTCACTGTCCCTATGGTCCTCACTGTCCCCATGATCCTCACTGGCCCCATGATCCTCACTGTCCCCATGGTCTTCACAGTCCCCTTGGCCCTTACCATGCCTACGGCCCTCACTGGCCCCCTTGCTCTTTTGCTTCACACACAGCTTCAAACCTAGGTTCCACTGCCTTTTTTTGGACGCCACCACTTCTGGGAACCTGGCATGTGTAGGAGGCCTCTCTGGCTCCACATTCACCACTGGAGTGGAGAATTCCACCTTGGCTTCATGCAGACTCTACTCATGATAAAATCTCAGGATGCAATTCTTGACTAGGTCTCCATGATTCCCCATGAAGATGGGGTAGATGATGATTCAGGGTATACAACATATGTTCAAAGAGTGTTACCTTGAAAAAGAGCGCAACGTGATTAGTCATCAGGAAAATGCAACTAAAACCAACATGAAGTATCACTACACACCACCAGAATGTCTAAAAATAAAAGATAGACTGTACCAAGTGTTGGTAAGGATGTAGAGCTCTCAGAATCCTCAAACATCACTAGTGGAAGTGTAAAATAGCTCAATAACTTTGAGAAAAGTTCTGGCGGCTTTATATAAAATCAAACATAATTCCACCCTATGACACAGCAATTTCAATTCTAGATATAAACCCAACATATATGAAAAACATATATCCACCAAAATATTTACACAAGAACATTTATAGCAGCTGTATTTATAATAGACAAAACAACCCAGATATTCATCAATAGGAAAAAAAAAAAGCAAACTATGGTATATTCATACAAGGAAATGTTTGTCAGCTGCAAAATGGAACAAACAAGGGATACACGCAGTAACATGCATGAATCTAAAGACGATTGTGCTGAAGGAAAGAAGCCAGACTCAAAAGAGTGCATTCTTTATCATTCCATATTTATGCATTTCCGGAACAAACAAAAATAATCTGTGGAGGAAAATAAATCAGATTAGCAGTTGGTTGTGTTGGAATGAAACACAGGTTGGAAATGAACATGGGAGACTTTTGGGCGATGTAAATGCCCTATTGATGAAGTTCGGGTTACACGGGTAGATGCATTTGTCAAAACTCATTGGATGGTATACTTTAGATTGGAGCATTTTGTTGAAAGAAATTTTCCTCCAAAAAAGAGCTATAAATAAATATTAAATTCTGATTAATGAGGTATATGCTGAAGTACTTAGTGAGAAGGGTATTAATATCTGCAGAAATTAATTAATTTCTAAGAAATTACTATTTCTGCTCTGAAATGCAGCAAAGAAGAAAATGGATTAATGGATGAGTAGGGGGATCCATGAATGGATAGATAACAGAAGTGAGTGTAATAAATGTTAATAGAATCTGGGTTGTGTGGACATTTACTATATAATTTCCAAAGTTCTTTTTTTTTTTTTTTTGAGATGGAGTCTTGCACTGTTGCCCAGGCTGGAGTGCAGTGGCATGATCTTGGCTCACTGCAAGCTCCGCCTCCCAGATTCACGCCATTCTCCTGCCTCAGCCTCCCGCGTAGCTGGGACTACAGGCGTCTGCCACCACGCCTGGCTAATTTTTTGTATTTTTAGTAGAGAGGGGGTTTCACCATGTTAACCAGGATGGTCTCGATCTCCTGACCTCGTGATCCACTCGCCCCGGCCTCCCAAAGTGCTGGGATTACAGGCGTGAGCCACCACTCCCAGCCTCCAAAGTTTTTATAGTTTGAAACTTTTTATAATGAAATGTTTGATGGTGAAGAAAACAGGTAGAAAGTTGAAAATGCCTCCTGATTTATGGCTCCTGATTAGTTATTGATTTCTCTCTTTATGCTTTGTCTGCTCAGATGGCTCTGGGAAGGTATAAGGAAAGTCCTTTCACAGAGGAATGGGGAGAGAGGTTGGACAGGAAAAGTAGGGAGACAGACAAAAAGACAGGAGGCAGATGGCAATGGTCCTGGGGAGGGTATCAGTCAGGGTCCAACCAGAAAAGCAGAACCAGTCGGAGGCACATACTAAGAGAATTATCACAAGGAACTGACTTACATGATTATGGGGCTGGCTAGGCAAGTTTCAAATCCATCTGGAAGCATTGTGGAAGGCCAAGCTGGAATGGGCATGGGTGGAGGCTGCTGTCCACGGGCAGAATTTCTTCCTCCTCAGGGAAGCCTTCACTCTGCCCTTGAGGCCTTCTGACTGATTGAACCAGGCCCACCCAGATCATCTACGATAATCTCCCTTACTTAAATTAGCCGATGATGAACTTTAATCATATCTGCATAATACTTTCACAGCAACACCTAGGCCAGTGTTCGATTAGGTAATTGGGGGCTGTGGCCAGTTAAGATGACACAGAAATCTGACCATCATGGGAGGTTAAGGGGAAGCTGTGGTCCAAGGGCTTTTGTCTCTATTTCCAATTAAGACTATCAAAGGTGACAGCACACTGAACATCAGAGGAAAACCATGGCCTGGGTTGGTGCCCCGAGTCTCCCTCAGTAGTCCTGCAAGAGGAGAGGCAGCGGAATCTTCCAGGCACCCTCAGAGTAAGGTGGACAGAGCTGATACAGGTATGTGAAATAGGCTCTGCTGGATGCACAATGGCACAGCCCTTTAGAAAGCGATTTGGTGACATAAGGAAAACATTGAGCCTCAGAAGTTCCTGCCTCTGACTGACAGCTTTCTGCACAAAGGTTTTGACTACACCATTATTTCCAGTAGCAAAAAATCAGTGGCATCCTGATGACCTGCCACAGAAGATAGTTTAGGAACTAGGATATACATCTGAAGCATCTTATACATCTATAAGCAAGAAGAAAAACAAGGGTCATGATGTCCATGTTACAACATAAAAAAAAAAAAACTTAAAAGATGGTACACCCCATTTTCTATTGTATGAGTGTTTTCATACTAATATAAATACAAATGTGTGTATATATGTGTGTATGTGTCATATATACACACACACAAATATATACATAACATCCTTTCCATTTTCACAAGAACAATACTGAAAGAATGTCCCATAAAGTGCTAAAAGTTATATTTGGAAGGAGATTTGAGAGACGACTGTCTATTTTCCAAATATTCTGAGAGGTGGTTGTTACTGCTTTTACAATATGGGAAAGAAATTATGAGCCTGCCTGGCTCATTATGGCTGCTTGTGGTTTCAATGCCTATGGGATTGCTGAAACCAAGCTTCAGCTGAGACCCCTGAATCCAAATTGCTTTTTAAATTAAGTGGCAGGAAACTTGGAATGCATATTTTGTCTCAAATTTGGTTAATAGGAACCAGATGCAAAGCTTCACCCAAACTTCGTTGTTTAGTGTTCTGGTACCCATTTACCCATTTGCTTGCTGAGCTAAAATCATTTTATTCATCTGCATCTTTTTGTGTGTTAATGCCTTGGATACATTAGTAAGATATGCCTACGATATGTTCTTTCCATGTAGTGAAAATGAACTTGCAAACATTAACGTGGGAATACAAGAAGTGTCTATTATTTTCCCAAAAAGCAAATGAAATCTGAGTCAGAATCTGCATCCCACTCAGTTGATGAAAATTCAACCTCCAGCATTATAGGAACCTCCTCCCAGCTCTACACGGTCCTGGGGCCCTAATGCCGAGTAGAATATTCTGAAAGCTTTTTCATTTTTCTGTCCACACTCCTGACTGCTGGGATGCTCTCCTTCCCAGCCAGGATAGGCCATGGGGTGAAGCGACATCCTCCCAAGTTGGTGAGGAGCTGGGCCTTCCCCAAGATGGCTTCTCCCACACAACCTGGCTTCTCTGGTCTCAGGAAATGGCGCCTCCTGCAGTGAGAGCTGCCGCTTCTGTCCCTGGAAACCCATCCCTCCGCCTGCAGCCTCCTGGGGTGTTTGCCAGGGAGAGCCTGGTAAACAATCTCCTCAAGTCTGGTGTGGAACATACACGCATACTACGCACCACATATACACATATATACCATACCACACACACACCATATATACCCCCACACACCCCACACACCACATACAGACCACACAGTACACACACCGCACAAATACACACCATACATACCCCACACACACCACACAATACACACAGATAATACACTACACACACCACACCACACACACGATACATATCCCCACACACCCCATTCACAATACACACAACCCATATCCACAACACAAACACACTAAACACACCCCACACACCACAGACAGACCACACACTACACACACTGCACACATACACACCATACATACCCCCACACACCACACAATACACACAGATAATACACTACACACACCACACCACACACACCATACATATCCCCACACACCCCATTCACAATACACACAACCCATATCCACAACACAAACACACTAAACACACCCCACACACCACATACAGACCACACACTACACACACTACACCACTCACACACATACACACCATACATACCCACCACACACCCCACACATCACATACAGACCACACACTACACACACACCACACCACAGACACAACATGCATACCCCCACGCATCCCATACAGCCATATCCACAACACAAACACACTACACACACGAAACACACCCCCTACACACTCCATACACCACACACAATACAGGGACCACACACTAATACACACCACACATACACACCATAGATATAGCCTACACACCCTATACACCACACACAATAAACACAGCACATATCCACAACACATACAATGCACACACTACACACATACACACACCATGCACACAAACTATAGACACACCACACCACATACACCATACATACATTCCATACATCCTAACACCACACACAATACAAACATGTCCACAACATAAACACACAATGCACACAACACACACCCAACACATGATCTCACACAAATATCACACACACTACACACACCACACACGCACCATACACACACACAACACACACATTCATACACACATACACCATACACCCACACACACTACACACACTGTACACACACACACCACATACACCATAAAGACAGAGCAGATTTGCAACTCACTTAAGTCTTGATAAGGGCCCTGCAGCAAGGCCTTGAGGATGGAATAGCATAACTGTGAGCCCAAAGCAAACACCATTTGTTAATCCACTATCCCACCATGCTCAAGAGTCATTTTTTCTCACTGCCAACTTGCTCCATATGCAATGTAGTCACCTTTAGTTAACACTAATAAAGCACGTAGGTAATCCTGCTGGTGATTAGCTGTTGAAGAGTGAGGCGCTCTCTCTAAGTCTCAGTGTCTCACCGTAGTTCACCTCCCAAGAATTATGATGAGAGTTAAATGAGACAAGGCAGGGATGGTGCTGTCTAGTGCCTGGCCCATAGTATGTGCTCAATAAATGTTAACCTCAGAAAACAGCCACACAACTCAGCACTAAACAGTAAGTCCCACTGCATGCCCATGAACAATCTTAAACTAGGAAAGGACATGCTGAGAAAGTCGATATTTTTTGACCAAAATCATTCAAAGAGCTAACAGACAATTCGTAGAAGAAATGCAAAGATATGGTAGTGATCAAATAACATAAATTAAAGCAATAAGATCATTTTTCTTTGACTAGACTGACAAGGATGTAGAAGAGTAGAAGTATCTGGTGTTGATAAGAGTGAGGGGAAGGCCTTGAAAACTGGCACAAGACAAGGATGCCCTCTGTCACCACTTCTATTCAATACAATATTGGAAGTTCTGGCTAGGGCAATCAGGCAAGAGAAAGAAATAAATGATATTCAAATAGGAAGAGAGGAAGTCAATTTATCTTTGCTTGCAGAAGACATGATCCTATGTCTAGAAAACTCCGTTGTCTCAGCCCAAAAGCTTCTTAAGATGATATGCAACTTCAGCAGTCTCAGCATACAAAATTAATATGCAAAAGTTGCTAGCATTCCTATACACCAACAACATGAAAGCAGAGATCCAAATCATGAATGCACTCCCATTCACAAATTGCCACAAAAAGAATAAAATGCACTGGAATACAGCTAACAAGGGAAGTGAGGGACCTCTTCAAGGAGAACTACAAGCCACTGTTTAAAGAAATCAGAGAAGACACAAACAAATGGAAAAACATTCCATGCTCACGAATAGGAAGAATCAGTATTGTGAAAATGGCCACACTGCCCAAAGTAATTTATAGATTCAATGTGATTCCTATTAAACTACCATTGACATTCTTCACAGAATTAGAAAAACTATTTTTAAATGCATATGGAACCAAAAAAGAGCCTGCGTAGCCAAGACAATCCTAAGCAAAAGGAACAAAGCTAGAGGCATCATACTACCCAACTTCAAACTATACTACAAGGCTACCGTAATCAAAACAGCATGGTACTGATACAAGAACAGACACATAGACCAATGGAACAGAATTGAGAACTCAGAATTAAGACTACACACCTGCAAACATCTGCTCTTCAACAAACCTGACAAAAACAAGCAATGGGGAAAGCATTCCCTATTTAATAAACAGTGCTGAGAGAACTGGCTAGCCATATGCAGAAAACTGAAGCTGGACCCCTTCCTTACACCACATACAAAAATTAACTCAAGATGGATTAAAGACCTAAATGTAAAACCCAAAACTATAAAAACCCTAGAAGAAAATCTAGGCAATACCATTCAGAACACAGGCATGGGCAAAGATTTCATAACTAAAATGCCAAAAGCAATTGCAACAAAAGCAAAAATTGACAAATGGGATCTAATTAAACTAAAAAGCTTGTGCACAGCAAAAGAAACTATCATCAGAGTGAACAGACAACCTACAGAATGGGAGAAAAATTTTGCAATCTATCCAGCTGACAATTGTCTAATATCCAGAATCTACAAGGAACTTAAAAAAATTTACAAGCAAAAACAAACAATCCCATTTAAAAAGTGGGCAAAGGGCATGAACAGATACTTCTCAAAAGAAGACATACATGCAGGCAACAAACATATGCAAAAAAGCTCAACATCACTGATCATTAGAGAAATGCAAATCAAAACCACAATGAGATACTGTCTCACACCTGTCCGAATGGCTATTATTAAAAGCAAAGTCTCAGGATACAAAATCAATATACAAAAATCACAAGCATTCTTATACACCAATAACAGACAGAGAGTCAAATCATGAGTGAACTCCCATTCACAATTGCTTCAAAGAGAATAAAATACCTAGGAATCCAACTTACAAGGGATGTGAAGGACCTCTTCAAGGAGAACTACAAACCACTGCTCAATGAAATAAAAGAGTATACAAAGAAATGGAAGAACATTCCATGCTTATGGGTAGGAAGAATCAATATTGTGAAAATGGCCATACTGACCAAGGTAATTTATAGATTCAATGCCATCCCCATCAAGCTATCAATGACTTTCTTCACAGAATTGGAAAAAACTACTTTAAAGTTCATATGGAACCAAAAAAGAGCCCACATTGCCAAGTCAATACTAAGCCAAAAGAACAAAGCTGGAGGCATCACACTACCTGACTTCAAAGTACGCTACAAGGCTACAGTAACCAAAACAGCATGGTACTGCTACCAAAACAGAGATATAGACCAATGGAACAAAACAGAGCCCTCAGAAATAATGCCACATATCTACAACTATCTGATCTTTGACAAACCTGACAAAAACAAGAAATGGGGAAAGGATTCCCTATTTAATAAATGGTGCTGGGAAAACTAGCTAGCCATATCTAGAAAGCTGAAACTGGATCCCTTCCTTACACCTTATACAAAAATTAATTCAACATGGATTAAAGACTTAAATGTTAGACCTAAAACCATAAAAACTCTAGAAGAAAACCTAGGCAATACCATTCAGGACATAGGCATGGGCAAGGACTTCATGTCTAAAACACCAAAAGCAATGGCAACAAAAGCCAAAATTGACAAACGGGATCTAATTAAACTAAAGAGCTTCTACACAGCAGAAGAAACTACCATCAGAGTGAACAGGCAACCTAGAGAATGGGAGAAAATTTTTGCAATCTACTCATCTGGCAAAAGGCTAATATCCAGAATCTGCAATGAACTCAAACAAATTTACAAGAAAAAAACAACCCCATCAACAAGTGGGCGAAGGATATGAACAGACACTTCTCAAAAGGAGACATTTATGCAGCCAAAAGACATGAAAAAATGCTCATCATCACTGGTCATCAGAGAAATGCAAATCAAAACCACAATGAGATACCCCATCTCACACCAGTTAGAATGGCGATCATTAAAAAGTCAGGAAACAACAGGTGCTGGAGAGGATGTGGAGAAATAGGAACACTTTTACACTGTTGGTGGGACTGTAAACTAGTTCAACCATTGTGGAAGTCAGTGTGGCAATTCCTCAGGGATCTAGAACTAGAAATACCATTTGACCCAGCAATCCCATTACTGGGTATATACCCAAAGGATTATAAATCATGCTGCTATAAAGACATGTGCACACATATGTTTATTGCAGCACTATTCACAATAGCAAAGACTTGGAACCAACCCAAATGCCCAACAATGACAGAGTGGATTAAGAAAATTGGCACATATACACCATGGAATACTATGCCGCCATAAAAAATGATGAGTTCATGTCCTTTGTAGGGACATAGATGAAGCTGGAAACCATCATTCTCAGCAAACTATTGCAAGGACAAAAAACCAAACACCGCATGTTCTCACTCATAGGTGGAATTGAACAATGAGAACACATGGACACAGGAAGGGGAACATCACACACCGGGCCTGTTGTGGGGTGGTGGGAGGGTGGAGGGATAGCATTAGGAGATATACCTAATGTAAATGACGAGTTAATGGGTGCAGCACACCAACATGGCACATGTATACATATGTAACAAACCTGCATGTTGTGCACATGTACCCTAAAACTTAAAGTGTAATAAAAAAAAAAGTCAAGAAACAGCAGATGCTAGAGAGGTTGTAGAGAAAAAAGAATCCTTTTACACTGCTGGTGGGATTGTAAATAAGTTCAACCATTGTGAAAGACAGTGTGGCGATTTCTCAAAGACCTAGGAGCAGAAATACCATTTGATCCAACAATCCCATTACTGGGTATATACCCAAAGGAATATAAATTATTCTGTTATAAATATACATGCACACATATATTCATTGTAGCACTATTCATAATAGCAAAGACATGGAATCAACCTAAATGCCTGTAAATGATAGACTGAATAAAGAAAATGTAGTATATATACACCATGGAATGCTATGCAGCCACAAAAAGGAGTGAGATCATGTCCTTTGTAGGGACATGGATGGAGTTGGAAGCCGTTATCCTTAGCAAACTAATGCAGGAACAGAAAACCAAACACTGCATGTTCTCACTTATAAGTGGGAGCTGAATGATGAGAACACAGGGACATATAGGAGGAACAAAACACACTGGAGCCTGTCAGAGGGGGCGTGGGGTAAGGAGAGCATCAGGAAGAATAGCTAAGGGATGCTGGGCTTAATAGCTAGGTGATGAGATGATCTGTGCAGCAAACCACCACGGCACACACTTACCTATGTAACAAACCTACACATCCTGCACTTCCTGCACTTGTACCCCTGAACTTAAAATAAAAATTGAACGAAAAGAGTGAGGGAAAGGATTGGAGCATAAATTGAAACAACCTTTTAGAGAGTAATTAGCAGTGATTTAACTCCGGGAATTTATAGTTCAGAAACATATGCACACGTCCTCCAGGCTATAGACAGGAAGCCATTAATTGTTTATAAAGGCAAAATATGGAGACAACTTCAATTCCATCCCTAAAGACTCTATTTAATAAATAATTATTGAGTCATTCTGTGCAATGTCTGCAAATCTAAAGAATGACAGAAATACACGTGGAAGAATGACCATATATAGTTGAGGTATTTTTTTAAA
Source organism: Homo sapiens (assembly GCF_000001405.40). Lineage (NCBI taxonomy): Eukaryota > Metazoa > Chordata > Mammalia > Primates > Hominidae > Homo > Homo sapiens. The sequence continues at coordinate 153,095 of NW_025791787.1, read as the reverse complement.
TGAGTTGAAAAATAATATACAGAGTTTCCGTTTTGTAAAATATAAGCAAAACACATGCTTGTGTACACATGAGAAGGCGTTTGCATATGTGTACATGTACCTATAATTTGCATATGCCAGGAGCAATTCTGGGAGGAAACACAACTGCTCATAATGGTTACTCTAGAGATGTGGAAATCAGAGAAGGGAAATGCAGGAAGAGTTTTTCTCCAAATGTGGGCACTCTGTGGCAGGTACCCTCATGCCCCCAACAGCTCCTGGGGCCAGTCATCTGTGCATACTGGTATAGTCCATGTACTAAATGGCTTTGTGGAGTGCACCCAGCCCAAGCGTGCCATAGACCAGGAGTGCTGGGGAATGCACATCTAGAAGCGACTGCCAACCAGACAGATGGAGGGTGGTATGTAAATACCTCAACTCCCCAGCTCCTTGGGGCACACAACTCAGGGGTATTTATACCAGCTCCTGGAGCTCCCTTGCGAACTAAGCTAAGCTCTAGTTGCCCTCCTTGGTGTTTTGCTTGGTAACTCACCTATATGGGCTTCCTCACTTCCCTGTCTCACTTCCCTACTGCACCACCAACATCTCTTGGGATCACCGTCTGGTATGGTTTGAACGTGTGTCCCCATCCAAATCTCATGTTGAATTGTAATCCCCAGGATTGGAGGTGGGGCCTCATAGGAACTGATTGGATCAGAAGGGCAGAGTTCTCATGACTGGTTGAGCATCAGTCTCCCTTGGTACTGTGTGGTGAGTGAGTTATCATGAGATCTGGCTATTTAAAAGTGTGTGGTACCTCCCCCCTCTCTCTCTCCCTCCTGCTTCAGCCATGTGAGGTGCTGGCTGCCCCTTTGCCTTCTGCCATGATTGTAAACTCCCTCAGAAGCAGATGCCATCATGCTTCCTACACAGCCTGTGAAACCATGAACCAATTAAACCTTTTTTCTTTAAAAATTACCCAGTCTCGAGTGTTTCTTTATAGCAATGTGAGAATGGACTTATACACATTCTAAGCAAACTGCTTGCCTCAAGTCTCCTCCTAGGGGAACCTAAACTAAGACGACTTTTCATTGTCTCAATTGTTATAATAATCTTCACTGCTTTTATTTTGTTTTCTCTTCTTTGCTAAGATACATAGAGCTGCCTAAACCATGTCCCCTCGTTCATGGCACATGCTTGCTGATGGCTCCTGCAAGACTCCTCTTTGGTTTACTTGACCTCATTACTTTTCCCCTTCATCTCTCACAACCAGGTCCATTTCTGTTCTCTAATACAGCAGTCTCCAACCTTTCTGGCACCAGGGACCGGTTTTGTGGAAGACCATTTTCCCACAAATGGGATGGGTGGGGGTAATGGTTTTAGGATGATTCAAGTGCATTACATTTATTGTAGACTTTATTTCTATTATTATTACATTGTAATATATAATTAAATAATTTTACAACTCACCATAATGTAGAATCAGTGGGAGCCCTGAGCTTGTTTTCCTGCATCTAAATGGTCCCATCTGGGGGTTATGGGAGCCAGTGAAAGATTATCAGGCGTTAGATTCCCATAAGGAGCATGCAACCTAGATCCCTCACATGCACAGTTCACAGTAGGGTTCACGCTCCTGTGAGAATTTAATGCCACCACTGATCTAACAGGAGGCGGAGCTCAGGCAGTAATGCAAGCCATGGAAGTAGCTATAAATACAGAAGAAGCTTCACTCGCCTGCCAGCCGCTCACCTCCTGCTGTGCGGCCCAGTCCCTAACAGGACACAGACCGTTAGCATTCCGTGGCATGAGGGCTGGGGACCCATAGTCTAATACACACTTTTGCTATTGTATTTTAAGATGTTCTCACAGTTCATCATCATGCTTTTTGGATGGATGCAGTTTCTTAACAAAGATGCATAGTGTTATTTTCATGTCATGTCCTCACATTGTCTCTGAGCTTTAGTGGTTGACACAGAGAAGTTAGCTGTTGGTAGAAGCACTGCTCCTCTGCAAGTGTTCTGCCTTGGCCCTGAGCACTTTTAGGAGACTTCAGTTCTGTTATATTGTGCCTGGGTGTGGACGTCTTTTTGTATAACTATCACCTGGGATTTGTTGGGAAAGACTGGTGTGTTTCATCAGTTTGGGAATATTCTCAGGCATCAGCTCTTCAAATATTTCTTCTGCCCCAATTTCCCACTCCTCTCCACTGGGACCCTAACTGGCCAGTAAGATGAATCTATTATTTCCTTCACTTCTCCTTTCTCTTCCACACTGCACTCTAGATCATTGTTTCTGGCCTATCTTACCATTTACTCAGTCTCCTTTCCACCCTGGCCAATCTTCTGTCAAGAAGACATAAGTTTCTTCAACTAAATTTTTTTTCAGATTATTTTAGATGTAGGAGCTGTGGTGAGAAATGATACAGAGAGGTCTTGTGTGCTCTTTGCCCAGCTTCCCCCAGTGGCAACATCTTGCATAACTATAGTACAATATCGTAACTATGGGATTAACACAGATACACTCCATGATCATATTCAGATCACCCCAGTTACTAGTACTCATTTGTGTGCATGCACATATGTTTATTTCTGTGCAATTTTATCACATGCATACATTCCTGTATCCACCATCACAGTTGAGATACTGAACTTTTCCATAACCACAAGAATCTCTCATTTTGCCCTTTTATAACTACTGACTGGCAACCCGCAACACCATGTTATCATTTCTCTGAGATAAATCCCCAAAAGTGCTGGGTCATGTGGTAATTTTATGTATCATTTTATAAGAAGCTGCCAAGCTGGTTGCCAAAGTCACTGTATCATTTCATGTTCTCGCAGTAATGTACAAATGATGCAATTTCTCCGCTAGCAGTTGATCTTTCTTGTCATTATTATTTATCTTAGCCATTCTGATAAGTGTCTAGTGATATCTCACTGTGCTATTAATTTGTATTTATATTCCCCTAGTGACTAGTGATGTTTAACATTTTCTTGTGCTTATTTGCCATCCATATATTCTCTTCAATAAAGTGTTTATTATTAAGTGTCTGTTACCCATTTTGTAATTTGAATGTTTTTTTACTGTTGACTTTTGAGAGTTCTTTATATATTATATTATATTATAGATAGTAGAATGATCCAGACACTATATAGTTGGCAAATATTTTCTACTAGTCTGTAGATGATCTGTACATCCTCCTAACAAGATATTACACGAAGCAAGTTTTTTTTTATTTTGGTAAGGTTCAATTTGGCAATTTTTCCTAATATGAATTATGCTTTCAGTGTCAAGTCTAAGAACTTTTTGCCAAGACCTAGATCCCAAAGGTTTTTTATGCTTTTTCCTAAAAGTTTTTTTAATAGTTTGCATTTGCATCCAAGATCCATTTTAAGTTAATTTTTATATAAGATGTAAAGTTTAAGTCAAGGTTCTCTCTTTTCTGGCCAATAGCTAAGTAATTGTTCTAGTATCTTTTTTTTTTTCTTTTTTTGAGACAAAGTCTTGCCCTGTCACCCAGGCTGGAGTGCAGTGGAGCATGGCTCATGGCAGCCTAAACTTCCCCAGGCTCACTTAATCCTCCCGCCTCAGCCTCCCAAGTAGCTGGGACTACAGATACACACCACCACACCCAGCTAATTTTTGTGTTTTTTGTAGAGACAGGGTTTTACTGTGTTGCCCAGGCTGGAGTTCCAGCATCTTTTTTGAAAGTTTACCCTTCCTTCATTGAATTGCTTTTGTACATTGATCAAAAATAAGTTTGCCATGTGTGCATGGGCCTATTTCTGGGTTCTCTGTTCTGTCCCATTGAGCAATGTTTCTACTCATCTGTCAGTTCTACACTGTCTTCATCGCTGTGGCTATAGAGGAAGACTTAATATTGGCTACAGTGATTCCTCTCATTTTACCTTTTTTGAAGGGTGTTTTAGCCATTCTAAGGTCTGTGCCTTTCCATATAAATTTTAGAATAAACTTTTTTATGTCTATCAAAAATAATCTTGCTGGGGCTTTGATAGGAATTGATCAATTTGTTAATAATTTATATCTTTAATGTTTATTTCACTTTCTGTTTCCAATAAGTTTTTCTTATTATTGCTTTATAGCACCCTGTTTTTCTGAATGAACAAAGTATTTTCTATTATCTTTCTAAGTACAGTTTTGTAAATGCATATTTTGTCAAGGTATAATATACACACAAAAAGTACACAAATCCTGAGTGTACAGCTCAGTGAATTTTCAAATGAAATGCACAATGGAACCAGCACCCTAATCACGAGACAAGACCATCACCCCAGAGCAGCCCCATACCTCTCCCAGTCCCCATCAGTGCCCTCCAAGGGGAGCTAATACCCTGCCTCCTAAACCTATCGGTAAGCTTTGACTTTTAAAAATTTCATATCAATGGGATCATGCAGTTCATACACTTTTGCATTTCTTTCCCTCAAAATAATTTGAGAGATAGATCTATATTTTTCTTCTCAGGGTTAAATATTCTTTTGTATGAAATGGAAATTTCTATTGTTGATGGACTTTGGAGTTGTTTCCAATTTGGGCTATTATGAATAGTGCTGCCATGAAACAGGTATATGCCTCTTAGTAAACATATTTACACACTAATACACCTGGGAGTGAAATAGCATGGTCAGAAGATATGTATATTTCAGCCTTAGGAGATTCTGCTGAAGGCTTTCCAGAGTGGATAAACCAACTTAAACTTGTGCCAGCTCCATGTCCCCACCATGTGGTACTGTTTATCACTTTCATTGGAGCCCATGTGGTAGGTGTGTAGTAGTATTACACTGAGATCTTGATTTTCAGTTTCCCCGGCTAACAAAGTTGAGAAATTTTCATATTTTTATTATTGATTTGAACGCTTTACTTATCGAACTTCCTGTTCAACTGTTTTGACCATCTTTCTATCTCATTGCCTTTTTCCTACTGAGTTCTTTACATATTCTGGATAGAGTCGCTTGTCATATACGTGTGTATTTATACACACACACACACACACACATCACACATCACAGAGCAAACACCTCTCCTGCGCTCTGACTTGTCTTTCCACAAATCATCTTTTGATTAAAAGACATAAAAGACATTCTTAATTGTATATAATCCAATTTTTCTTATACTCTTAAGTATTTTCATTGTATTTCCCTTAATTGTCTTTTATTGTTCTTGTATAACACTCTTGTTGAGATATAAGTCACATACATGCAAATCACCCATTTAAGGTGTACAATTCAATGGGTTTTAGTATGTTCAGTTAGACAACCATCATCACAATCAATTTCTGAAAAATTTCAGCATCCCAAAAAGAAAGCACATACCTGTCATTGTCCCCCAACACCTATCCCCTCAGCCCTAGGCAACTACTAATTTTTCTTTCTCTATAGATTTACCCATTCCCCTTTCTTTTTTCTTTTCTTTTCTTTTTTTTTTTTTTTTTTTTTGGTAGAAGGATGGGGGAGGTGGATCTTTCTTGTTCACATTGGAGGTTTTCCTCAAATGTTTGATGTTTTTATTGCTGTCATTTATGTTTGAGGGAGTCACTAAAAGATTTATGAGAAGTGCTGTATGTGCACCTCACTGTAACAAAACAAGGCAGCATTTTCTTTGAGGTCTCCCAACCAATATCTGTAGCTCCTTTGTCTAAGTGCCCTCATGTGCAAAGCCTCTGTATTTCAACATCTCAAGAATAAATCTCTGGGATCCTAGAGGGCAGGAGACATACAGACACCTGCTGCAGGGGGTGGTGGAGAAAGGGACCCAGGGAACACAGCTGCTTCACAGAGACTTCCCAGGTTTCATGCTGTGTTCAGGCTCACACTCAACCCCACCTGCCAGAGTACCTGCTGTCTTCCATTTGGAGCTTTCAGCGATTCTTCAAGGCAAATGTGCTCACTCTTCATCAATATCACCCCCTGCAGGCACTGGATGCTCATTTCATCTTCTCTGTTAGGTCAGCTACATCCTCCACCCAATTTACATCTTCCAAAATGTTGGTGTCTTTTATCTGCATTTTCTTTTCTTTTGTTCTCTTTGTTCTTGTAGGTAGATCTTGTTTACTTATTTACTCATTCATTTATTTGTTCATTTTAGTAAAGATTTAAACGTAAAACTATACATTTATGTGATCTTAGTAGGTTTTCGAAAAGGAGAGATGGTTAAATGCATTGCAAATAGAGATCTTTTTATTAGTCAACTATTACATTTTTACTACTTTGATTATAATAGATTAATCCGAATTGAATTAATTGGATTTTTCTCACAGTTAGTGAGAATGACATCTTGTCTTATTAGAGTGCTCCTTCTGTAAATTAACCTAATGATATCCTTTGCTGATTTCTCTGTTTCTTGTCTTTTATCCTTGTTGATGTATGAATACTTCATGTATTCTAAATGTTAATCATCTTACTGATTTAGACACTACAAACACCTACCAGTGTTCTTTCTGTTAACGTCATGGAACAGATTTCATGTTCTTCGTGGAAGAAAAATTTTCTAATTTTGATACAGTAAAATTTATTAAATTTTGGCCTTACTCTTCATGCTTTCAGGGCCTTGTTTAAAACACCATCTCACAATCCAAGATTGCTGAAATATTTTATTTTTTCTTTCATTTACTTTACAGTCTTACCTTTTGCATTTAGGTCTATACCCATATTGCTCAAATATGGCACAATATCAGGATGCAGCTTTATTTTACTCAGTTTAGAAAGCCAATTTTTCCATCAACATTTGCTGGATAATCTACCTTTTCTTGTAAAGCTGTGATGTCACCTCATATGTAAAAGATATACATGAACCCTTGGAACTATTATTGGGCCCTCCATTCAGTTTCACTGGTCTCTTTGCATGATCCTTTCTTTGTACCACACTGTTGTTTGGGGGTTTGTTTTATTACTATGTCTTTGTGATATGTCTAAACATTGCGTAAGGTGTTTCTTAACCCACCCCCTTGGCTCTTTGCTCAAAATGGAGAATCTCTATTTCTCCAAATAAATTTTAGAATCACTTTTTTTTTTAAGACAGAGTCTAACTCTGTCACCCAGGCTGGAGTGCAATGGCACGATCTCAGCTCACTGCAACCTCTGCCTCCTGGGTTCAAGCAGTTCTCCTGCCTCGGCCTCCCTAGTAGCTGGGATTACAGGTGCCCGCCACCTTGCCTGGCTAATTTTTGTATTTTAGTAGAGATGGGGTTTTACCACATTGGCCAGGCTAGTCTCAAACTCCAGACCTCAAGCAATCCACCCACCTTGGCCTCCCAAAATTCTGGGATTACAGGCGTGAGCCACCTCACCTGGCCTAAAATCACTGTTTTGTTTCCCTAGATATTCTGCTAGGATTTTCCTTGCAGTTATATTAAACATTTGAAAAATCAGCTTCTTGATAAATGATGTCTTCCCCTCCATTAATATGGCTTATCTTTCCATTTATTTAGGTCTTCTTTCATGTCCTGTAATAGTGACTTAAGTTTTTCCTCCATAAACGTCTTATACATTCTTATTAGATAATGCCTAATTAGTTCATTTTCATGGTGCCATTTTATTTTCCAGCTGTTTATTGCTGACAAATAAGAATAATGATGAGTATTCTTATTTCTTGAGCTTATATCTGGTTGAGGCTGACATTTGTTGTCATTAAAATTTGTCATCATTTTGCTCTCAAAGTGGCTCTAAACAATGTTTCAGTGATGGCTGCCTTCATTTACAAGAAGAGTGATGCTCCCACAGTAACTTTCTATACCTTTGTGAAATGTATTCATTTGAAGAGACAAAAAGGAGAGAGATAAAATGGAAAGCTCTTAGTTAAGAGCCAATCGAGAGTCTTTAGAAGTGTTGGGAAGTCCTCTCCCTCTCCCTCGCCCTCTCCCTCTCCCTGTCCCTGTCCCTGTCCCTGTCCCCTCTTTCCACGGTCTCCCTCTGATGCCCAGCCAAAGCTGGACTGTACTGCTGCCATCTCGGCTCACTGCAACCTCCCTGCCTGATTCTCCTGCCTCAGCCTGCCGAGTGCCTGTGATTGCAGGCGCGCGCCGCCACGCCTGACTGGTTTTCGTATTTTTTTGGTGGAGACGGGGTTTCGCTGTGTTGGCCGGGCTGGTCTCCAGCTCCTAACAGCGAGTGATCCGCCAGCCCCGGCCTCCCGAGGTGCCGGGATTGCAGACGGAGTCTGGTTCACTCAGTGCTCAATGGTGCCCAGGCTGGAGCGCAGTGGCGTGATCTCGGCTGGCTACAACCTCAACCTCCCACCCGCCTGCCTTGGCCTCCCAAAGTGCCGAGATTGCAGCCTCTGCCCGGCCACCATCCCATCTAGGAAGTGAGGAGCGCCTCTTCCCGGCCGCCATCCCATCTAGGAAGTGAGGAGCGTCTCTGCCCGGCCGCCCATCGTCTGAGATGTGGGGAGCGCCTTTGCCCCGCCGCCCCGTCTGGGATGTGAGGAGCGCCTCTACCCGGCCGCGACCCCGTCTGGGAGGTGAGGAGCGTCTCTGCCCGGCCGCCCCGTCTGAGAAGCGAGGAGACCCTCCGCCCGGCAGCCGCCCCGTCTGAGAAGTGAGGAGCCTCTCCGCCCGGCAGCCACCCCGTCTGGGAAGCGAGGAGCGTCTCCGCCCGGCAGCCGCCCCGTCCGGGAGGGAAGTGGGGGGGTCAGCCCCCCGCCCGGCCAGCCGCCCCGTCCGGGAGGTGAGGGGCGCCTCTGCCCGGCCACCCCTACTGGGAAGTGAGGAGCCCCTCTGCCCGGCCAGCCGCCCCGTCCGGGAGGGAGGTGGGGGGGTCAACCCCCCGCCTGGCCAGCCGCCCCGTCCGGGAGGTGAGGGGCGCCTCTGCCCGGCTGCCCCTACTGGGAAGTGAGGAGCCTCTCTGCCTGGCCAGCCGCCCCGTCCGGGAGGGAGGTGGGGGGGTCAGCCCCCTGCCCGGCCAGCCGCCTCGTCCGGGAGGTGAGGGGCGCCTCTGCCCGGCCGCCCCTACTGGGAAGTGAGGAGCCCCTCTGCCCGGCCACCACCCCGTCTGGGAGGTGTACCCAACAGCTCATTGAGAACGGGCCATGATGACAATGGCGGTTTTGTGGAATAGAAAGAGGGGAAAGGCGGGGAAAAGATTGAGAAATCGGATGGTTGCCGTGTCTGTGTAGAAAGAGGTAGACATGGGACACTTTTCATTTTGTTCTGTACTAAGAAAAATTCTTCTGCCTTGTGATCCTGTTGATCTGTGACCTTACCCCCAACCCTGTGCTCTCTGAAACATGTGCTGTGTCCACTCAGGGTTAAATGGATTAAGGGCGGTGCAAGATGTGCTTTGTTAAACAGATGCTTGAAGGCAGCATGCTCGTTAAGAGTCATCACCACTCCCTAATCTCAAGTACCCAGGGACACAAACACTGCAGAAGGCCGCAGGGTCCTCTGCCTAGGAAAACCAGAGACCTTTGTTCACTTGTTTATCTGCTGACATTCCCTCCACTATTGTCCTATGACCCTGCCAAATACCCCTCTGCGAGAAACACCCAAGAATGATCAATTAAAAAAAAAAAAAGAGCCAATCGAAGGGATCTATCCAGCTCTGCAATCGCCTCCCTGAGGAAGTGACAGAGGCTGAAGGCTGCACTATTAGGAGCATTTAGGCTCTGGTTGCACAGACTTAGGCCATATAGGTCTAGGTCACTACTCATGAATAGTGACTGACTGAGCAACATTAACAGAACTTGCAGTTTATTTAGGTGACAAAGATAATGTTTAACATCATGCAAATGAGAAGGCCAAATGCCTAGGCAGATAAAAAGGGGTCCTCAGAGAATTTCCGACTTACCCCACAAGTGTTTACATCAGGTGCTTTTGTGCAGATGAGGGAACCTGCCCAGGGCCTTGTCTGAGCATGCCCACGTGAACCCTGGGGGAATGGGGCAGAGCCACAGGGAGGAGGGAGGAGCCTGGCCTCTTTGGCTCCTGTGTGGTGGCCTGGGATTCAATCCATGAGGTGAGGGGACTGAAAGAAATTGAAGAGGACAGCAAAGATGAAAAGATATTTCATTTTCATGGATTGGAAGAATAAATATTGTTAAAATGTCCATATTATCCAAAGCTATCTACAGATTAAATGCAATCCCTATTAAAATAACAATGACATTCTTCACAGAAACAGAAAAAAAAAATCTTAAAATTTATGTGGAATCACAAAAGACCCAAAATAGCCAGTGCTATCCTAAGCAAAAAGAACAAAACTGGAGGGATCACATTACCTGACTTCAAATTATACTACAGAGCTGTAGTAACCAAAACAGCATGGTACTGGCATAAAAACAGACACACAGACCAATGGAACAGAATAGAGAACCCAGAAACAAATCCGCACACCTACAGTGAACTCATTTTCAACAAAGGTGCCAAGAACATACATTGAAGAAAGGTCAGTCTCTTCAATAAATGGCTCCAGGAAAACTGGATATCCATATACAGAAGAATGAAACTAGACCCCTATCTCTTGCCATATACAAAAATCAAATTAAAATGGATTAAAGACTTAGATCTAAGGTCTCAAACTGTGAAACTGTTACAAGAAAACACTGGGGAAGCTCTCCAGGACATTGGTCTGGGCAAAGGTTTCTTGAATAGTACCCCATAAGTGCAAGCAACCAAAGTAAAAATGGACAAATGGGAACACATCAAGTTAAAAAGCTTCTGCACAGCAAAGGAAACAATCAACAAAGTGAAGAGACAACTCACAGAATGGGAGAAAATATCTGCAAACTGCCACTCTGACAAGGGATCAATAACCAAAATATATAGGAGCTCAAACAACTCTAAAGGAAAGAATTTACCAATCCAATCAAAAAAAGGCAAAATATTTGAATAGACATTTCTCTAAAGAAAACATACACATGGCAAACAGACATATGAACAGGTCCTCAACATCGTTGATCACCAGAGAAATGCAAACCAAAACTACAATGAGATATCATCTCACCCCAGTTAAAATGGCTTTTACCCAAAAGTCAGGCAACAACAAATGCTGACAAGAATGTAGAGAAAAGGAAATCCCATACACTGTTGGTGGAAATGTAAATTAGTATAACTACTATGGAGAACAATCTGGAGGTTTCTCAAAAAACTAAAAATAGAGCTACCATATGATCCAGTAATCCCACTGCTGGGCACATGCTCGAATGGAAATCAATATATTGAAGAGATAACTGCATTCCTGTGTTTTTTGCAGCACTGTTCACAATAGCCAAGATCTGGAAGCAACCTAAGTGTTCATCAACAGATGAACAGGTAAAAAAAATGTGGTACGTATACACAATGGAGTATTATTCAGACACACAAAAAAGAAAGAGATCCTGTCATTTGCAACAACATGGATGGAACTGGAAGTCATTATGTTAAGTAACGTAAGTCAGGCACAGAAAGACAAATATCGTATCTTCTCACTTATCTGTGGGATCTAAAAATCAAAATGATTGAACTCATGGAGATAGAAAATAGAAGGATGGTTACGAGAGGCTGGGAAGGGCAGTAGGAGGCTGGGGGGTAGGAGGGGATAGAAAGAATGAATAAGACCTAGTATTTGCTAGCAAAACAGGGTGACAGTAGTCAATAATAATTTAATTGTACATTTTAAAATAACAAAGTACAATTAGATTGTTTGTAACACAAAGAATAAATGCTTGAGGGAATGAATATCTCCGTTTTCCATCATGTGATTAGTATGCATTGCATGCCTGTATCCAAACATCTCATGTACCCCGTGTGTGTGTGTGTGTGTGTGTATATATATGTGTATATATACACATATGTATATATACATATATATGTGTATATATACGTATATATGTATATATATACGTATATATATGTATATATACACATATATGTGTATATATATACATATATATATACACACACACACACACAAAATATGCTCACAACAATTAAAAGTTTTTTTTAATTAAGAAAAAGCCCATCAAATTAATGAAAGAAAAGGTACTCTGGTTGAAGTTGGGTTGGGGCCCTGAAGACTCTCTTCCCTTTATCTTCAGGTGGCCACTGAGATCTCTCCGCAGACAGCTCCTTTCATCCAGAAGACAACTGCATGATCACCAGGAGCCCAGTCACAAGGAAATTAGGGCCCAGACACAGGACTCAACCTGCAACTGGCCCTGTTTCATGGTATTCTTGAGATATTTAAAGTCTTCATTGCCAAATTGCTTCCCAGCTCTCCTGCAAGGTAGAAGTGTTCCTTTTATTTATTATTTTTTTTCTTAAGAGACAGGGAGACAGGGTTTCTGCCACCCAGGCTGGAGTGCAGTGGCACAATCATAGCTCACTGTAACCTCTAACTCCTGAACTCAAGTGATCCTCCTGCCTCAGCCTCCCAAGTAGTTGGGACCACAGGCACACGCCACTATACCCAGATACTTTCTTTTTTATTTTTGTAGAGACAGGGTCTCGCTGTGTTGCCCAAGCTGGTCTCAAACTCCTGGCCTCAAGTGCTCCTCTCACCTCAGCCTCCCCAACAGGTATGAGCCACCCTATTGGGCCAGGAGTGTTCTTTAAATGGAGCATCAGACTCTTTAAATGAGTTGTACACATCAAATTCTGACAGTGAAATGGTAGTTACTAAATACCTGCTGGAGACCCTCCCTTCCAAATGTGGTACCATAAATACTAGCTTCCTCACATGGAACCAACTTCTCAACCAGCTTATAGGTCATGGATGAAAGAGCAGTCAGTTTTTTCTACTTCTATTTGATTACCCTGCTTCATGACTAGCTTTCTTAATAAGATTTGACACCTACTGATAATTGACTGATTTTTAGATTCAAACTCATCTTAGAGAACAAAGGTGAACTGTTGGCAATTGAAGCTGTCATGCGTATTCTTTTTTTTTTTTTTTTTTTTTGAGAGGAAGTCTCACCCTGTCGCCCAGGCTGGAGGCTGGAGTGCAGTCATGTGATCTCAGCTCACTGCAACCTCCACCTCCCGGGTTCAAGCGATTCTCCTCCCTCAGCCTCCCTAGTAGCTGGGATTACAGGCCCATGCCACCATACCCAGCTAATTTTTGTATTTTTAGTACAGACAGAGTTTCACTATGTTGGCCAGGCTGGTCTTCAACTCCTGACTTCAAGTGATCCACCTGCCTTAGCCTCCCAAAGTGCTGGGATTACAGGCCTGTCATGCGTATTCTGAAGGGAATTCCCAGAAAGGATTCCAGCAGTGCTGTGAGCCATGCTAGCAACTTTGACAGGTGAGCTCAGCCTCCTAGAGAGCCATCTGAAGGATGGGCATTCATGGGCATGTGCAGGCTTGAGGATGCTTATTAGCAATCACTCATTTCTGTACGGGAACAGCCATGAAGAATATTATCCCAAATATCCCCCTCCTATACTAACACAATAATGGAAAAAGCACATCAGTGCAAAATTATTTAGAATTTATTTCCATAATTGGTAAGCCAAATCAAACTGATAATCTAGAATAAAAAGTTGAATTATTCTCTTGATCCCAACGTTCTTTCTTTGTTGAACACTTCTATTCCCTGGAGAAAACACCACAAATTGCATCTTTAAAGAAGTATGCTTACATTTACCTTTTAAACCTATATATGTAAACCTTTCAAAAGTACCAATTTAAAAACATGTTGTAATAACATGTTCTCAAAAAAAGTTGAATTATTAAAGTTACCTACAAAAAACTCAACCTTCTGTGTTGTATAACCCACCTGGAAGCTATCTTTCAGCGCCCCAACTGAACTTTCCCTAACTGCTTAGCCTCCCTCATGTGTGGGTTACTGTCAGCAAGAGGGTTTTATGTAAAAAGGACATCAGGGCTACTCCACACTCATCCCATTTTCCCTGCTCACACACTGAGGTTGGCCGCCCAGGTCAAAAGGCCAACCTCCCGTTTGTCTTGACTGAACACAGTGAAGCTCCTCCCTTACTGCTTTGAACTGACTTGCACGGTTGGCCTCCTGCCATATCCACCAAATGGAACCGAGAGAACATAAACTCTTGACAAGCAAATCTCCTTTTGGATGGCATGACATTGGGAGCTGGCCAGAAATGATTCTTTAATTTGTGTGTCATGTTTTTTGCCATTGAAAACCCAGGTTTTGAGCAATAACTAAGTCCCTAGAGCGTATGACAGAATCGTTTATTATCTCCAGGCCTGAGAAGTGATTCCAAGATCACTAATGAACATGTGCCTTTCTCTGAACTTCTGGAAAAACAATAAGTATGTGGAAATGTAACTATGCTCCTGACGTGTGAGGTTAACACAGCAGCCTGACTATTTTCTCACTAATTTTAAAGGCACCTAAAGAAAAAAAACCAAAAGGGACAGATGCTTCATTGAGGATGTTTTCAGACTAGTTCATCTATAACTGAATCAGTTCCCTGGGTTCAGATGCCAGCAGGCCCTAATAATGTTAACGAGGCCAGTGGCTTCAGGATAATGATGCTGACATGATTCTCCCAGGCTGTGCCTCTTGGGTGGCCAGGAGCTTGGAGGCTGAAGCATTTCCTGAAACTTTTGACCCCAAGCCTTTACGTTCACTGTGCACAAACACTCCTTGTGGGTCCCATGTTCCTGTTTACTTTTCTACATTGGAATCCCTTTCAATCTGATTGGTATTAACTTAAATACTTGAAGAATGGTGTTTGAGAAGCAATGAATTTTCTAAAAACTGCAAAGGAATAAAAATACTTGTCTTGAGAGAAAGGAATTGACATTCTTTTCTCAAAAACTTTCCTCATTTCTACTAGGTGCTATTGGTTGTGTGTGTGTATACACACATCTACACCCAACCAATAACATGTATATACATATATACACAGGCACATATACATACATATAAACACACACATACATATGTGTAAATAATTTACAAACTTTGGATTTATATTAACAACTCCATGCTTCAGGTCACCACCAGTGATAATTGTCTGCGGACAGACATGGGACTAGGCAAGGTGTCAGAGCTTTGGTGTAATCTGGGCGTTTGTATTGGTATTTTTGGGTTTATGTTCATTTTTGCATTGTTAGCTAACAGGCCTACCTCAGAACTAGAAATGTGTTCATGCATCACACAGTGCCCAGAACCTGGTCAGTGCCTACTGGATGATGGATGAGATGGTCCATACATTCAGTATTTTCTAAGCTAATTGTCTCTTTTGCTCATTTCTGTAGCCCAACAAGAAGATAAGCCGAATTCATACTGAATCATTTTATTGTTGTTTTGAAACGGGATCTCGTTATATTGGCCAGGCAGGTCTCAAACTCCTGGGTTCAAACAACCCTCCCACCTCAGCCTCCTGAGTAGCTGAGATTATAGGCATGTGCTACCATGCCTGGTTCATACTGAATTATTCATATAAAAATTATTTAACATGTCTGTTATTTCACCTTGCTTTTACTGATGACATGCATGTTTTTAAAAACCTAGTGCCATAATTTTTTCCTTTGGTTTATTGAAGCTACTTGTTCATTGGTTTGTAGATATTGTTATGAGTATATTTGGAAAACAAATAACAGGAAAAAGCAAGTAGCACTTGGTGGAAATTTTTTTAAAGGGTGAGTGTTGTACTAGGGTCTCTCTCTATAGCCTCTTGTTTAATCCCCACTATAACTCTGTGAGGAAATTAGTAGCCATAATAGTAAGACTATGGGCCAGACATGGTGGCTCATGCCCATAATCCCAGCACTTCAGGAGGCCAAGATGGATGGATTGCTTGAACCCAAGAGTTTGAGACCAGCCTAGGCAATATGGTGAAACCCTGTCTCTACCAAAAAATACAAAAATTAGCTAAGCATGGTGGCAGACGCCTGTAATCCCAGCTACTCAGGAGGCTGAGGTGGGAGGATCCCTTGAGCCCAGCAGGCCAAGACTGTGGTAAGCTGAGATCTGCACTCCAACCTGGGCAACAGAGTGAGACCCTGTCTCAAAAAAAAAAAAGTGTGAAGGCATTTTCCCCATCAGCCTTATGTGATGGCATCACTTTTTCACTATGGAAAGTGAACTTAAACCTATTCCGAGTGCACACTACATCTCTAGAGAAGAGCAAATCCTAAGGTGACTAGTGGGAGGTGTGGTTTTAAAAGATGAAAAGTCCTAAATTCATTCTTCTTCGATTTTATTCCATTATGCATTTCATTTTAAGAAATTATAAACTCCTAAAGGCAAATGAGTGTTTTGTGATGTTGTAATATTACTGAGAAATTCAACCATAGTACCAATAAAAGAAATCCAAATACCACCAAAACTCTCTTTTCCACCATTGGATTGGGGATGTCCGAGTCTGACCACAGTCCCTCAGTGCTGACAAAGGTCTTGGAGACTCCATCCTTGCTGCTCTGTGGGAGTGCTCACCACATAGCAGTTGAGGACGGCAGTCTGATCATGGGTGGCAGCATCTTAATGGGCATTCTTTGTTTTCTTTTTTTAAATTATTATTATTTTATTTTATTTTTCCAAAAGTTATTGAGGCACAGGTGGTATTTGGTTACGTGAATAAGTTCTTTAGTGGTGATTTGTGAGATCTTGGTGCACACATCACCCAAGTAGCATACACTGCACCATATATGTTGTCTTTTATCCCTCGCCCCCTCTCCCACCTTTCTCTCCAAATCCCCAAAGTCCATTATATTATTCTGATGTCTTTGCATCCTCATATCTTAGCTCCCATGTATAGGTGAGAAAATGCAATGTTTGGTTTTCCATTCAATAGGCATCAATTCTGATCCAGAGGGCCACTTCTAGTTTATTCTAAAAAGATGATCAGGCAAGTCAGAAAAAAAAAAAAGTAGTTTTCATTGCAGCCATTGTTTTATAATAATCTTTAAAATTAAGGAAAGCTACATCTCAAAACTATCAACTTTTTTCGAAATTCAGTTCCACCTTGTTGATCTAACCCAGTGTCATCCCTCACCCAATATGTTCACAAGGGCTCTCTCACGCTTGCCTCCAGAAACCGCTACCTGTCTTCCTCACTAACGGGAAAGTTCAAGTTCCTTGAAAGACCAACAAGGCCAAACCCTTGTTTGGTAAGCTGAGATCTGCACTCCAACCTGGGCAACAGAGTGAGACTGCCCCCTCCAGTGCTGGGCTTTGGCCATGCTGACCTTTCCTCTGTTCCAAGAAACAAGCCAAGGTCCTAGCACTATAGCACTCCTTCTCTCTGGAAGGCTCCTTCCCTCCCATTCCTAACCAACACTACCCTCCTTTAGGGCTTCTGTGATTGCCACCTGCCCCAGATCGCTCTAGTTCCCTGTGCATCATGGCTTCATGCCACCTCGTCTTGCACCTGCAAAGCACTTACACATTTCATGAAGCCAGGGACCATGTCTCTTTCTTTGGTATCTCTATCCTTCACTTTCTTATTTTTATAAATTTAAGGGGTACAAGTGAAGCTTTGTTATGTGGCTATATTGCATAGTGATAAAATCCAGGCTTTTAGTGAAACCATCCCCTGAATAGTGTAGATCATGCCCATTGAGTAATTTCTTATTCCTCACTCTCCTCACCCTCCCACCCTTCCCAGTTCCAATGCCTATTATTCCACACTCTGTGTCCACGTGTACACTTTATTTAGCTCCCACTTATGTGAGAATATGTGGTATTTGACTTTCTGTTTCTGATCTGTTTCACTTAACATAACAGCCTCCAGTTCCATCCTTGTTGCTGCAAAACATGATTTTCTTCTTTCTTATAGCTAAGTAGTATTCCTACATATATATATACACATTTTTTTTATCCAATCATCCATTGATGGACACTTAGAATGATTCCATATCTTTGTGATTAGATGCTCAGAAATACTTGTTGAAACATGGCTAAATCATACATACCAGGCTCCTTCTTTATTTCTCTCTCTCTCTCTCTCTCTCTCTCACCTCTGCCACTTTTAGCAACAGCTGCATTCCAAGCAGGAAGACGGAGGTACAGGTTGAGTGTGTATCCCTCGCCCAAAATGTTTGGGACCAGAAGTGCTCTGAATTTTGATTGTTTTCAAGTTTTGAAATATATGTATTACACTTACTGGTTCAGCATCCCTAACACAAAAATCTGAAATGCTCCAATGAGCATCTCTTTGAGCATCACATCAGCACTCAAAGCGTTTTGAATTTTGGAGCATTTTGGATTTCGGATTTTCTCACTAGGCATGCTCAGCCTGTATCAGAAGAGGCTCAGCCAAAGCCACTTCCCTGCCTTAAACTGAGCTCCATGGCCATTCTCAGCTATGAGGGCTTGATAAAGATTAAGTTTTATTTATCTTTGCAGCCCCTACAGCAAGTAAAGATGAGCAAAAAGAGGTTAAACTCAGAACTAAAATGTCTAGAGCCACCTCCATCTACCCCACTGCAATGAAAACACAAGGACATAAGCATTTACTGCAGTATTGTTCCCAGTGGCAAAAAGCTGGAACTCAAATAAACGCCTAATGACAGAGGAATGATGAAAGAAATTCTGGCTCATACACACCACAACCTATTACACAGCCACTGAAAAGAATGAATTAGAGCCACATTGATGACTCTGGGAGATTTCCATGAGCAATTACAGAGTAAATGAAACCAAATGCAGAAAAAAAAAGTCTGTTTTATTATCCCATTTCTAACAAAAATGAAGAAAAGCACTCTCTAACATCTGTGCACATACATGCAGGTAAGCGCGAGTGAGCTGAAAATTATAGGCCACATACTGTTATCATGAGTTACCTGTGCAGAAGGCAGAGAGAAAGTTTGGGAAAGGAAAGAGAAGAAGAAGAGCAAAGAACAAAAAGAAAATTTTTGAAAAGAAATGTTATAATATGATCCATTAATGTATTAACTTAAAGATATATGTGTGTTCATATGCACGAAGAGAAAACTTTATATGTTGTCTCTTCTTTTCTGTCTCTTAAATCAGGCTTGCAAGACTTTGGCAATTTCCCACTTGTTTTGAATCCTCAGAAAATATCGTATCTCCAGAAAGTAAACAAAAATTGACCAGATAGCATTCCCTTAATGCAGTTCCAGTGACTGTTCTGGATAAGAAAACAACACTTCTACATTCAAACCCCCAATTGCCATTTGAATCTCATCAAATGAAATTTTAGTTTTTCTTTCTAGCTTATGTTTTTCCCTGGAGAAACAAGTCTATAAATGTTTAAAACTGGCACTACTTCTCATAGTGAATAAAATATTGTTGTGTAGAAAACTGGCTCCAGGAAATTAAAAATCAATATACTTTGAGAACTAAAATAGGATGGAAAAGTTGCTTTGTCCAGATTGCAATGGCCAGGCAATGCAAAACAAAAGAATTGCTATTATAAAATGAGAATTACAAGAGAGCATTTTTCAGCTTTGTATGAGAAATGCAATTGACCGAGTGAAAAAAATTAACCCTGTTTGTGTTTCATTCAAGTGGCCATCTCTGCAACTTACTGCTAATTTGCCTTCTTTGAATTTACCATTCCTGGTGGCAAAATCATTTGCTCAGAATTGTTCTAGTATTGCCCAGTCATACTTTTCTAATTAAGATTCCTTGCTGAATGTTCTAACTTTGACCTCATTTCAAAGTTACTTTCATTTTAAAGCTTGACTCAAGATCTTCAATTCTTATATCTTAAAAATCTTAAATGTTTTCTGTTTCTGTTATTAACTATACTAGGTTAGGGATATTTAAAATAACAGCTGATAATATGGTTTTTAAAAATTGTGAGAATGATTGCTAATGTCTGGCTCTCACTTTATTAAGAGGACATGGGAGCCTTTGAAAGATGGCTTGCCTGTCTACCTAGGGCTGACCCCCAGGTCCAGATTTGAGAGTCTGGGCTGGCTGACTGCTGGGTGGCTTTGGTAGAAGCTGGCTTGTCTTCTGGTTCCATTTTTCTCTCCACCCCAGTATCTTGGGTTACTCTGGAAAACTATGCGATGCCCATGTGCGCACCCAGTTAAAGGGCATTCGAGTCTTTGCCCGTAGAAATTTCATAAATAGAATATGTAATGAGCCATGCATGTCTTATCGCTAAGGAATCCAGGGGAATCTGAAACTTGGATGACAAAGTCTCTTATGGGTCTTTCCTTCTCACACCACTTGATACAGCACGACTATCTTGAAGTCAGCCAGCGGCCTGCAGAGGCGGTCTTTCCATCTGTTTCAGAAAACCCGGTGGCTTGTGCAACCTGGGAAACTTGCCCACAGCCATCCCACGTGGTGAGTCAGCTCTCTGGCTCCATTATCTACTGTCTCTTCCCAGATGTGACTCCCTGTTTAGGAGCAAGCAAAGTTATGGGGACCCAGGGGAGAAGCAGACACTCACCTAATGCACAATCCTGCTGAGAATTTACCCAAACCCAAGGAGGTGGAGATGGAGTAGAGCTTGAGTCCTTTCCACGACTGTTAACTGAAGATTTCTGTTGTGACATCACATAGAATTTTGACTAGCATTCACCAAGGATGAACTGAAAGCAGGATCTGTCTCACCATACACTGAGAACTGTAGAATATGCAAGGCACATGGAACTTATTTTCTTACGTATAAAAGCGTGTATATGCTCCTTATACATCTGTCCTAATGCTTTCCAACAGTCCTCACTCTAAGCCTCACCAAGACCCAGATGAGGAAACAAAGGCACAGAGGGGTGAGTCACTTGACCAAGTCACAGCACTGGAAAGGAACAGAGTTTCTGTGTTTCCTTCTCCAAGAGAAGCACTCTTGGCTATAGTGCTTCTGATTAACCAGTGATTCCCATACAGTGGTCCCTGGGCCAGCAGCATCAAAATCACCCAGGAACTTGATAGAGGTGAAAAGTCACTGAATAAGACTTACTGAATCAGAAACTCTGGGGAATGTGGCCCAGAAATATTTGTTTGAACAAGCTTGTCAGGTGATTCTCATGCACACTACAGTTTGAGGAATATTGAACTAGGCCTTTGGAATGAGGTTTTTCATTACTGAGTGTTTTAGGGGAATTCTTGGGCAAATATCAGAAGAGATTCACTAGGAGTCATTTCTGGGTACAAGTTAATAAATAGGTTTCCTTTCTGAGGTACTACATGCAATAGTCAGAACTGTAAGAAAGTATATTTATGAACATATCAATAAAAAATGTATTCACTCTGTGAAAATAATATTCCCCTTAGAAAAGCGTTCACATGAACTTGGTGATTGATCTCATAGGGTGCAGTCGGGAGGGGTCAAGAGTCACCCCACATCTTGTATCTCAGGTCAGCCCACTTCTTTCCATCTCTGCTCCCATCCTGGCCCCAACTATGCTCATCTCTCACTCAGAAATCTACAGTGGCTTCCTAACTCGACACCCCTTCTATTCTGAAGCTCATTCAAGCTGTTCTTCACATTGAAGCCAGAGTGATTTTTCTGCAAATCTGAGCTTAAGTAAAGCCCTTAAAGAATTACTATTGTTCACAGGATACAGAACAAAATGCCTAACAAAGCCCCTGAGTCAGTGGGACATGGTCTGCCCATCCCTTTACCCCAAGAGACATAGAATGCAATTCTCCATTTCACTGCTTGCTCCTAGTCACCCCAGCAATCTTTTATTTTCTTAAAAACACATAGCCTTTTATGCCTCAGCTACTTTCACGTTTGTCCCTCTTCTTTAAATGTTTTTCCCCTCATTTCACTGTTTAAGCCATATATACCCTTCAAAATTCAGTTCAAACCTCACTTCAAGAAAACCTTTATGTTTTCACCAGAGAGCTTACAGTGTTTGGCATCCCATCAAATATTATCAGGCATGAAAGGAAGGAAAAAAAGCCCCGTAATGGGCCGGGTGCAGTGTCTCACGCCTGTAATCCCAGCACTTTGGGAGGCCAAGGCGGGTGGATCACGAGGTCAGGAGATCAACACCATCCTGGCTAACATGGTGAAACCCCATCTCAACTAAAAATACAAAAAATTGGCCGGGAGTGGTGGCGGGCACCTGTAGTCGCAGCTACTCGGGAGGCTGAGGCAGGAGAATGGCGTGAACCTGGGAGGCAGAGCTTGCAGTGAGCCGAGATGATGCTGCCGCACTCCAGCCTGGGCGACAGAGAGAGACTCTGTCTCAAAAAAAAAAAAAGAAAAAAAAAAAAAGAAAAAAAAAAAAAAGCCCCGCAATGAAGAGAAAAATCAACAAATTGAAACAGTCCCAGAATGGGCACAGATGTCAGAATTAGCACACAAGGACATTAAAACATTGTTATAACTGTATTCCAGAAGTTCAAAAACTTAACTAGACACATGAAAGATATTTTTTAAAAAACACCCAAATTGATGGGATGTGGTGGCTCACACTTGCAATCCCAGAACTTTGGGAGGCCAAGACAAGAGGATCGCTTTAGCCCAGGAGTTTGAGGCTGCAATGAGCTATGATAGCTCCACTGTACTCCAGCCTGAGGGACACAGTGAGACCCTGTCTCTTAAAAAAGATTTTAAAAAAAGATCCAAACTGAACTTTAAGTGAACTGGAAGACATAACAATAGAAACTATTCAAAATGAAAAAGACAAAAAGAATTTAAAAGAAAAACACAAAATAGCAACACTGAGTGGCAGGACAGTTTTATGTGACATTCATATCTCGTGTGCAAAGGGCTCCTTAAGCATATTTGATCTATGGCTTTATAATTTTATCAAATTTGGAGATTTTTCAGTCATGATTTCTTCAAATATTTTTTCTGCCCTTCCCGCAACCTCTCTCCTTTACAGACTCTAGTTACACACATATTATAAGAAATATTGAAAGAAGTCTTCTAGGCAGAAGGAAAATGAAATGAAAACCAGATGAATATGAATGAACTGTACCAGAAATGATAACTATTAAATACATTGGTAAATATATATACTTTAGAATTTAAATCTTTTGAAAATATAATTGTTTAATCAAGAGTAATACCAATGTACTATGGAGTTCGTAACATACATAAAAGTGAATGTATGACAACAAAACCATAAAGACTATATAGGTGGAAAAGGGCAAATAGAAGTATATTATTTAAGCTTCTTATACTGTCAGTGAACCTGTATAATATGACTTGAAGGTAGACTATATTAAGTTAAATATTTTAAACCCTATAACAACTAGTAAAAGAACAAAACAAGGAGTTACAGCTAAAATCCAACAAAGAAGATAAAATGGAATCATAAAAATTTTCAATTAACTTTTAAAAAGGCAAAAATAGAGGAAAAGGGTAACACAGAATAAACGTTACAAATAGAAAGCAAATAGCAGGAGGAGATACTTAGACCTAACCACAGCAATAATCATATTAAGTATAAACGGTTTAAACACCACAATAAAAAGTCAGAGATTGTCATATTGAATCAAAAAAACAAGACCTAATAAACACAAGAAATTCTCTTTAAATATAAATAGACAAACTGATTAAAATTAAAATGTTCAACAACGATACACTGTGCTAACCCTTCTCAAAAAAAGACTGGATGGCCGGGGGCAGTGCTCACACCTGTAAACCCAGCAATTTGGGAAGCCAAGGCAGGCGGACGACTTGAGGTCAGGTGTTCAAGACCAGACTGGCCAATGTGGTGAAACCCCATCTCTACTAAAAATACAAAAATTAGCCAGGCATGGTGATGAGTGCCTGTAATCCCAGCTACTCAGGAGGCTGAGGCAGGAGAATCACTTGAACCTGGGAGGCAGAGGCTGCAGTGAGCCAAGATGACGCCACTGCACCCCAGCCTGGGTGACAGAGGGAGACTCTGTCTCAAAAAAAAAAAAAGACTGAAGTGGCTATATTAATATCAGACAAAGTTGATTTCAGATTAAAGAATATTTCCAGTGATAAAGAAGGAATTGGAAATGACTTTATACACTCTTGTATTATTTGAAAAAAATCAAATAATACAACGTGTAGCCTATTTGTGCATTTGAACATGTACCTATTTAGTAATTTAAACATTCAACACACTTTTCTTTAGGCTACTCCCTATACCTAGCACTGTTTAGGTATTGAAAAAAAAGGGGGGGGCGGATAAAGAAGTTGGACACAGCCCCAGACCTAGGGGAGCACAATCTGTTAGGGAGACAAGACACTAACTTTTTTTTAAGCTAATAAAAGATGTGTCAGATGTTAATTGAAAAATGGAAGTTCAGAGAAAAGAATATTTCTGGCACCATAGCAATTAGGGAAAGTTTCTAGAAGAGAGCTAAACCCCAAGAGTATGCACAGATAAAGAGAAAGAGGGAGGAAGAAAAGCATTTTATAATAATTGGAAAAATTTTAATTTATGTGGCTGGGTAGGTTTTCACTTTGCTTTTTTCCTCCTACTCGAGCAGAGGGACCATTTTGGTCTCATTGCTTCCAGGCTTTCTGGCTTTTGTGGAGAGTGGTTTGGGTGGATGCAGGGGAGCTGCTCTGGTGAAGGAGCCATGGCTGTGCAGGCCTTCCAGCAACCTACAGAGAAATAGCAAAGCCCTGGCCGCATGGAAGCCTGCCTGTCTTGCCATCCTTGGAAAGACTGGTGTGCCTGAATGCGGGGCATAAAACAACACATGTTTTTACACCCCATCCCAGGACAATGACTAAGACCAAGACCAAGTTATTACCTGTGTATAGAGATGACAAAGATCAACTGGGCACCAACCACCACCTTGAGAGTGGGTCACTACACAAGCCCCACAAATTTCACCCACCTCCACAGTGAGGGGACCCCAAAAGAGATGGAACTACCCTGCTCCACCAGCTCAGGGGAATGAGGCCTGAAGTAGATACTAAGTTGAATTACAGGTGATTTTTTAAAAACCTACACATCTGAGTTTGGGGGCTGAGATTTGTGTTCATAATACATATCAGCAGCTCAATAGTTAGAATCATTTTCTGATAATAAGATGATTACTCTTTCTTCTTTCTTAGGTACATTGAAGGAGGTCAGTTTGGAAAACCACAGTGTAGACACTTATTCTCTCTCCTTTGTGTTTCAGATAAACTCAGAGCAGGAAGACAGCAAGGAATAGCAGTGAAAAGCATGGTGCTTAATCCAACCCCTTACTCACTGCTGAGACCTGGAAATGTGTTCATCAGCTACAAAACAGGAGAGATGATAACTCATTATGTATATGTGATGATAAACAGAGACAATATATTGAAGAGCTTATATGAGTGGCAGACACGGGACATGCTTCCCTGTGGCTGGCCAGCGTGTCATCTTCTCCATGTGTCCAGAGAAAAGCTTTGCAAATCAACCTCTCGATGAATGATGACGGCACCAGTGAAATCAGGGGAGGCAGAAAATCATGTTAGTTTGGTTTATAATGCAAGAAGTTACAGAACACAGAGTGCTCAAAACTAAGAATGTGCTAGTTGTATAACAGGGTCCTTCTTGGGACTCAGCCAGGATTCAAACTATAAAGGAAAATCGGGTGAGCAGGTGGGATAGTCAAGTGATTCTATTTGCATGAATAATTTTGTGAGATGATACCTTCTTGTCCAGGAACATTGAGCAGTGCTCGTGCTGGGTGGATTGTGATGTGGAAACCCTGGGAGATGTCACGTCTGACATCAACTTTCTCCCAGGTGACAGCTGCACCCTCTAAAGGCTTCTCAAATGACAGAGCTCAATGAATATAGAAGGGAAAAGTATGAGGATGACCTATGAGCACAGGGTGGACAGTCTCTGCGGTGGGCAGGCATTAGCAAAGGAGAGACCTTCTGTATTATGCAGGTATGTGCAAGAACCAAAGAAAATAACTGTCATGAGAATTCTGACCTCATTAATACCCACAGACTAGAGACACCAGGAATCTAAGCTTGCAAAAGCATAAGGGAACATAAGGGTTGTGTTCTCTTGCCCTTGGGGCACAGCTTTTCACCACATTTTGTACTAATTTAACCATGATGCAGATCGAAGAGCCCCAGTGATTTCCCAATAAAATGCTCCAGTTGTATAAATTTGCTTGACCTTCAGTAGATGCTCATTCCCTATGGTCCACATCTACTGCAGGCTCACATTCTGGACAGGGAGAATCCTCCGCGTGACTGAAGCAAGAGGTCCCACATGATTTGCTTTTCGCCTGGCATGGAGGCACTGTTTGCCCTGGTGACCAAGGGCACATAGCCCTGTCTTTCCTCTGGCGGCCATTGGATTCATACTCTGTTCTGAGATAACTTTGTATTAATCAAGACCTCCTAACATGTCTCTCTCTCTCTCTCTTTTTTTTTTTTTTTTTTTTTTTGAGACGGAGTCTCGCTCTGTCGCCCAGGCTGAGTGCAGTGGCACAATCGCGGCTCAGGGCAAGCTCCGCCTCCTGGGTTCACCCCATTCTCCTGCCCCAGCCTCCCAAATAGCTAGGACTACAGGCGCCCGCCACCATGCCCGGCTAATTTTTTGTATTTTTAGTGGAGACGGGGTTTCACCGTGTTAGCCAGGATGGTTTCGATCTCCCGACCTCGTGATCCGCCCACCTCGGCCTCCCGAAGTGCTGGGATTACAGGCGTGAGCCACCACGCCCGGCCACATGTCTCTTTTTTGAAAATGACAAGCATGCTGTGATGAGGTTCTCAAGATCTGATCACAGCTTTCTCTCAACAACGCACCAGGATGTAGCGGTGCTCAGCTCTGCCTTCTTCTGTCCTGGCTTGGGTGCTGTGTTGAGACAGACACAGCAGCAAGCGAGCAAACCTCTTGCAGTCCTGTAGCCTTCCCCCTTTTCTTCTTCTCTGTCTGTCCCATCCCCTTCTCTTTTCTTTCCCCTCATCTCCATTCTTTTCTTCCTTTCGTTCCTGTCACTGTTTTCTTCTTTGCTTTTGTTCTGTTTCCAGCTTTCAAAACACATTTATAAAGAGAGCTTCCTCTGAGCCAAAAGTAACAAAACTGTTTCACATTCTTTATCTGGTAGCAGGCTGCTGTCTAAAGGGCATTGTAAACACTTCCCAGACTTTCCCTCAATAAGGGGACTGCCTGATTCTCAGTTACAGAATGTCATTAGCTCTAATGCGTGCTGGTTTCCCTGCTAGAAAATAGCAACTAACATAAATTATAAAATATTAAAATTAATACCAATAAACTGTCTTGTATTTGCAACATGAATGAATTGGGCTATCATCTCATAATTTTCAAGGACACAAAAAGCAAAAATAACATGCCTGATTAAATGATGTTTTCCAATAATTTATTAATTTAAAAGTCACGTAGGCAGGCAGAAAGACTACGTTTCCCAGCCTCCTTTGCAGTTAGGTTGAGACCATGTGACTGAGTTCCGGTTGATGGGAAATAGGTGAAAATTACATACTTCCAGGTGTGGGTTTTTTTGTTTGTTTGTTTGATTTTTGGGGGTTTTTTGGGTTTTGTTTGTTTGTTTTTGACAGAGCCTTGCTCTGTTGCCCAGGCTGGAGGCTGGAGTGTAGTGGCATGATCTCGGCTCACTATAACCTCCACCTCCCGGGTTCAAGCAATTCTCCTGCCTCAACATCCCAAGTAGCTTAGACTGCAGGCACACACCACCATGCCTGGCTAATTTTTGTATTTTTAGTAGAGGCGGGGTTTCACCATGTTGGCCAGCTGCTCTCGAACTCCTGACCTCAGGTGATCTGCCTGCCTCAGCTTCCTAAAGTGCTGGGATTATGGGCATGAGCCACTATGCCCAGCCCAAGGGTGGTCTTTAAAACATCTCTCAAAGGCTTTTTTTACTCCATGCTACAAGATGGAGGAGGATTGCCCAATCCATAGTGCATTGTGTGCCAAACAATATATAATTTTTAATTGTGTTAATATCCTGAGATTTCAGGGTTTGTTGTTTGCAAAACAGTATAACTTATCCTGACTCATACAATGGAAAATTATAATTTAAGCATCTACTAAAGCTAATAAAAGTCTTAGAATAAAACAAAGAAATAAATCTTCATAATCTTGGATTTGGCACTTGATTCCTAGATATGACACCAAAAAGCAACAGCAAAAAATAGATAAATTAGACTTCATCAAAATTAAAAACTTTTGTGCATCAGTGCTTATTATCAGGAAAGTGAAAAGACAACCTACAGACCAGGAGAAAATATGTTCAAATCAGATAATAAGATTTTAATATCTAGATTTCATTTACATTCGTTTTGTTTTTTCTCGCTATTTACTGATTGAAGAAATTGGACCTTTGAGGACCAGCTGGGACTTGGGAATATAGAAAGAGGTCCTTCAACTCAACAACAAAAAGACAAACAACCCAATCAAAGAATTGTCAAAGGACTTGAATAGTCAACACTCCAAAGAAGATATATAAATGGCCAGTAAGCACCTGAAGAGATGCTCAACATCACTAATTATTAGGAAAATGAAAATCAAAACCACAATGAGATATCAATTCATACAGGTTAGGATGACTAAGGGAAAAAAATCACAAATGTTGTCAAGAATGTGAAGAAATCAGAATGCTAGGATATTGTGGGTGGGAATGTAAGATGGTGCAGCACTATGGAAAACAGTTTGGTGGTTCTTCAAAAAGCTAAATGGAATTACCATATGACTCAGCAATTCTACACCTAGGTATACATCCAAAAAATCTGAAAACAAGGACTCAAAGAGATACTTCTACGCCAGTGTTCATTGCAGCACTATTCACGACAGCCGAAAGGGGCAAACAACCCAAGTGCCCGTCAACAGATGAGTGGATAAATGAAGTGTTGTTTATGCCTACAGTGGGATATTTATTACTCAGCCATAAAAAGGAATGAAGCTCTGACACATGCAACAACATGGATGAGGCTTGAAAACATTATGCTAAGTGAAATCAGCCAGACACAAAAGAACAAATACTGTAGATTCCACTTATATGAAATGTCCAGAAAAGGACAATTCCTGAAAACAAAAAGTTAAGTTAAAGGTTGCTAGGGGCTGGGGGAGGAGAAATAGAAAATTATTACTTAATGAGTAGAGTTTCTGTTTGGGATGATGAAACAACCATAAATAAATAGTGGTGATGGTGCACAAGATTATGAAAGTAATTAATGACACTAATTGTATACTTAAAATGGCTTAAATGGTAAATTGTATACAATATTACATATAGAGAGAGAAAGAGAGAGAGAGATTACTGTTCTAAAAAATGGGGGGAAAGTCTATCACTTAAATTTAAATTTGAAGTAGCAGTTTGGATTCATGATGTATTTAATCTTTATATTTTATTTTTCTATTTCCTTGCTCTGTCTACTGAAAAGGCCAAATGACAAAAATCAACACAACAGCAATAAGCATCCTAGCCTAGTACCTAAGTTGTCTCTAACTACCATTTCCTCAGGAAAAAAAAACTAAGAACCCTTAAAGAGAGGTGCATTTCAAGATCTGAGCAGGAAATATATAGGACAATCCTGGAATATCTTGTTATAGAAAGAGAAAAGCCTCTTATGAGGTCCACTGGAACCATGCGAAATGAGTTCAGGAGGCACCTTGTTAATCTCCCATTTACCAAGGATGGTACCATTTGAACATCAGTAAAAATAACTGCAACAATTTGAAGTACATAAAATATGTTTATTCCCATGAGTCCATAATAATACTTTAAAAAAAATTTCTTTGCCACACTTAAAGGATGCTAAGAAGCCAACTCATTATTCTGAAAACTAGAAAATAAAAAAGAATCAAACATTTTAATCCTGCTTTTCCTATACAAATGAGATGTCAAAATAACAAAATGTCTGTGAGGAAACTTTCTCTTTATAGAATTATTCCAGCTTTAAAAATGAAAATGAAAATAAAGAAGAGGAGAAGGAGAACTTGGAGGAGGAGAAGGAGAAGAAGGAGGAGAGGGAGGGGGAGAAGGAGAAGGGGAAGAGGAAGGGGAAGAGGAAGAGGAAGAAGAAGAAGAGGACGAAGAAGAATAAGAAGAGGAGGAGGACAAGGAGAGGAGAAGGAGGAAGAGGAAGAAGAAGATGAAGAAGAAGTATTGATAGGACAGACACAAACAAATGGCTGAATGGTGGCACCATTTCCTGAGGGGGGGCACACTAAGGCAAGAAGCAAGGCAGAGGGAAGGCATGAGTTCTGTTAAGGATTACATTCATCTGCTCCAGTTGTCATAACAAAGGACCACAGATGGGCTGTGGGTGGAGTTGCTGACACAGCAGAAATCTACTGTCTCACAGTCTTGAAGGCTGGATGTCCAAGATCAAGGTGTTGGCAGGGTTGGTTTCTCTAAGGCCTCTCTCCTTGGCTTGCAGATTGCTGTCTTCTCCCTGTATGCTCACATGGTCATCCCTCTGTGTGTGTCTGTGACCTCATCTCCTCTGCCTATAACACATCAGTCAGGTTGGATTAGAGTCCACTGGAAGGATCTCATTTTACCTTAATCACTTCTTTAAAGACCCTGTCTCCAAATACATCACATTCTGAATTACTGAGTGTTAGGACTTCAAAATATGAATTTTTTTGGTTGGGGGGATGCAATTCAGCCACCACAAAGACATGCTTCCTTTAAGATCCAAGTGGAAATGTTTATCAGGCCATTGTACCGTGAAGCCTAGGGCACAGAAGAGAGTACTGTGTTGGGAGTGGACAGAGAGCCTGAGAGGGAAACTGATTGAGAGGTGCAGGTGGCTGTAGGAAACCCCAACCAAGGACAAGCTGGGTTGGGGGTGGTGAGTCAGAACACCCAGATCATGACGCCTGCTCAATGCCATTCTCCAGCAACAGGAAGGAAGGCTCCTCAGAGAAATGCCTGGTCCCAGGTCTGGAGCAGGGAACACAGAAGATGAGCCTGGAGGTCACACCACCCCAGAAATTAAGGAAATGTTAGAAGAGGATGGAGACACAGCAAGAGGACCCAGGAGCCAGCTGAAAAAGGCATCCACTGGTCAAATTTGGAATAATTTGAACTAAATAGTGATAATGAGGGATTGTAACCTATATCATAGACAAGGAATCCATGCACCCACACAGATATGAGCAAATAAATATGGGAGAAGGGCCAGCTCTTCCTCGCAGTGGAATGCCGACTCATATATGCAAAAGGAGTGACAGAATTAGAAAACCACTTGGCACCCACAACTGTAATGACTGTTTTAGGCAAAAATCATCAAAAGATGCTAAAATCAATTGGCAAAAGTGTGATAGGGAGCAGGATATTTGCATAGTCTCAAAGTATCACCTCCCAAGATTCTCATTAATGACAAAGGGGAAAATAGGAACCTGGCAGTGAAGAAACCTGTGACACTGTGTTCACCAAGTAACTGTCACTACCATCACCAGCAATGGGACAAATTGCTACCACGTTCCTCCTGATCTGACACAACACCACTTCTGTTGTATCTCTGCCAAAAATGCATGAACTGTATGCCCACACACACATCACAAACACACATCGCACACGTGCGCACACACACACACACACACGTTCTGCAGAAACATCAGGCAAACCCATTTAGAGGGATATTCAACTAAATAATGAACACCACTCTTCACAAACGTCAAGGCCATGGAAGATTAAAAAAAGACTAAGGGACTATTCCAGATTAGAGGATACCAAGGAGACAGGACAACAAAAAGCAATGTGGGATGCTGGATCAGAAAAATAACATTAGTGGGACACCCAGAAAAATTGGAATAAGGTCTGTAGATTAGATAATAGAACTGTATCGATGTTAATTTCCTGCTTTGATAGTTGCACTATAGTTATAAAAGAGAATACCCTTGGATTTTGTAAATGCACAGTGAAGTGCTCCAATAAGAGAACCAAATGTCTGCAATTTATTCTTAAATACTTAAAAAAAAACTATAAACTATACACATACACAAGTGTGCACACACACACATGCATACACAGTGCTAGGGGTGAGAATCACATACTCAGTAACATTGTACTATTTTTTGCAATTTCTTGTAAGTCCAAAATTATTTCAAAAAGAGAAATTGTTAAAAGGAAAGAAACAACAATAGCAATAACAAAACGGAGTGGGATGTGTAGAAGTACCCAGT
The DNA here is from genome assembly GCF_000001405.40 of Homo sapiens. Taxonomy (NCBI): domain Eukaryota; kingdom Metazoa; phylum Chordata; class Mammalia; order Primates; family Hominidae; genus Homo; species Homo sapiens. The sequence continues at coordinate 121,228 of NW_025791787.1, read as the reverse complement.
GAGCTCCTGTGTTGCTCTGGTTCTCAACCTGAAACAGCTTATCATGTGCAGGCAGCTGTAATGAAACAATTAATTCAAACAAAATTCTTCTTGTCATTAAAGGCAGGCATCTGGTGGACCTTCTTCTTGGATTGTGATTCAAAAGCCCAAACCATTCCTCACTGGTCTGAAAAGTGAGTCAATTGCCAAAGCCTCCCGAGCCTGGATGTGGGAGGGTTCTACTTCTAGAGAGGTGATTTCCTTTCCTTTCAAAGCAGCTGGCTAATGACCACATGCCCCTCTAGGCATGAAGAGAGGGGAGCAACTGGCCAACTAGGAACCATAACACAGTTTCCCATCTCCTCATATCCTTGGTCCCATTCGATCAATCCAAGTAGTTTCCAGCCCTGTGAACATGGCCAGGATAGCCCAGAAACCAAGTTCACTTTTTTGGGCAAAGAGCTGAAAAGAGTTTCTAAAGGTGAATTGCCAGGTCACCTTCCTCCTCCTCTCTCCTCCAGCTGCTTAGAGGAGTAGAAGTTAAAAGCTGGTTAAATAACTAATATAAAAAAAAATTTGGAGAATCACACAGGTTCTCTCACAAGAGGACTTCACATCGCATGGTCCAACTCTGATTTGCTAGATGAAGAAGCCAGAAGCCCATTTAAGCAAAACAGTTTGTTCAAAGTTATGCTGGTCAGGACAGGCCAAGACAAGAGATCGTATCGGGGCCATAGGGCACACAGAGGACACCTGACCCAGATTGGGGACCATTAGAGAAAAGCCTCTGGAGAAAGAAAACAGTGAGGCAGAATCCTAAGGAATTCAACAGAGGCAGCAGACACATTTTCCAAGGAGACGGATTCACAGCCCAGAGCTGGGAGAGCAAGGCAGGGTGTGGGACACAAGCAGCAGCCCCCTGCATGTGGCCTGTGGGCAGATGAACTTGCAAGGAGCCACAGAGTCCACGGCCCAGGAAGGAGTTGGGGTTCGATCCAGAGGGCATGGGGAGCCTTAGAGGAGTTCAAGCCAGAACTTTCATTCTCACATTCTGGTCTGCGATCCAGGCAGGGTATGGCATTGTTGCTTCTCCGTCCCTCTACCTGGGGCTTAGAGTTCTTGATAAGAGCTCTAGACCAAGAGGGAGGTCTGCAGAAGAGAGACTGGGATGAGCTCTGAACCCTGAACTGGTCAGTCTCTCTCACTCCTGGAGTCTTCTGTCCCCGTCTGGTGTGCCCTTCCAATGGCTGGGCCTTGAGTGGCCACTCCTGTGGTGTCAGCTTCCAAATGCTGGTTATTTATCACATACATCACACACACCCTCCATACAGTGCACACATACACACACCTGATAACCAAGATGAGTGACTAAGGCAAAGGTCTCAATCACCAAGGTTTATTAAGCCAGCTTTAGGGTGCATCTGGAAAAAAAAATTAGCCACAGACACATCCCTGGATGTTTTTCCAAAGAGGTTTTCAGGAGACTTAGTATTTATACATTTCCTTAAATTGAGGGATGGCAGACAGAAAGAGGGGCAGGTAGATAGTAAAGCAAATGGTTACATTCCTGTTACACTTTAGTTAGTGCCCAGTTAATCTACATTTCACATAAGAGAAGCTGAATGTTTAAAGGAAAAAAAGGGTGTAAAGGACAAGTTAATTATGCAGCCATCTCTGGGTAGGAGGGAGGAGTCTTTATTCTACACCTGGGAAGATAAGCTTGTAATTGACACTATCAGTATGGAATGAACAGACTTTAGTTTTAGGAGCCAGACTTAGATTGTACACCTAAAATTACAATTGGCATGTCCTTGTTTATGGGAGGCCAGCAAAAAATTTACTCCTGAATGATCTGTGGGGCAGCCCATGGTAGATCCCTGAGGCCTCCTACCTGTCCATGGGGACCTGGCTGGTGCACAATGCTACAGCTATTCATTTGGAAGCTGGTGTTGCATGGCTCAGCCTCCCGGCTCAAGTTTGGGAGTCCTGGTATTTTTTTATTTTCCTTTACATACCATACACACTAGGCACACTATACACACACCACACATACATCACACACACACACACAGACAAACACACATATGTTCTCAGTCACATACTTGCTCTTTGTCTTCCTCTTTCTTACTATGCCTCTTCCCCTCTCCCTACTAGTTTCCTGAGAACTTCGTCTTCATTGCTAAAGGGGGGTGCTTACAGAGGGGTAGACTGAGGTTGCTTCTGCTCCCCTGTCTGGCCCCTCTTTCCTGACCAACTCCTGCTCTCTGAGCCCAGCACCATTTTGAGGCTGAGTGCCCAGTGCTGCCATGCTGCCAGCCAAGAGCTGGGGTGGGCAAGGGTCTCGCCTTCTCCTGGCTGAGAATGAATATGCCCAACATCCCAAACCTGCCCTCACCCTGTGCCCTTTACCAACACATAGGGACTCAAAGCCACTTTGTCTCTGGGCACCTTACTCCTACCTGCAGGGAGATTTTCATAAGCTGATGACCGTGGAGCAATACTGGAGTCACTCCCAGCCCAAATCACCACACAGAGATGCAAGCCAGCTCCTTCTCTCACACAAGGGAAATTTCAACTCATTGAGACACTCAAAATGGATACCCTGGGCTTATCAAAACTTTGATGCATACTCAATTTTGTTTAAAAGTCATACGTACAGATATGCATGCATGTATATACTGTATACATAGATAGGGTTTGGAAAAGTTATTGGAAGAACATAGACTAAAACATGTTTGAACAGTAGTAGGTATACAAGTGATTTTTTAATGCCCTGTTTTATTCAATTTTGGTACAATAAATATGCAACAGTTTTAGAATCAGAAAAGACATGAAATAAAAATTGCCCATCAGACTAGAACAAGTAGAAGAAAGAATTTTAGGGCTTGAAAACAAGGCTTTAGGATTAACCCAACCAGAAAAGACAAAGAAAAAAAGAATCAAAATAAATAAAGTCATCAGGAAATATGGAATTTTGTAAAACAGCCAACTCTAAGAATAATTGGTGTTCCTGAGGGAGAAAAGAAGTCTAAAAGTTTGGAGAACTTGTTTGAGGGAATAATTGAGGAAAACTTCCCTGGTCTTAGATACTTCCTTGGTCTTAGAGATCTAGATATCCAAATACACGAAGCTTAAAGAACTCCTGGGAAATGCATTGCAAAAAGATCATCACCAAGGCACATAGTCATCAGGTTATCTAAAGTCAACATGAAGGAAATAATTTTAAAAGCTGTGAGACAAAAGCATCAGGTAACCTATAAGGGAAAACCTATCAGTCTAATGGCAGATTTCTCAGCAGAAGCCTTACAAGCCAGAAGAGACCCAGGACATATCTTTAGCCTTCTTAAACAAAATGATTGTCAGCCAAGAATTGTGTATTCAACAAAACTAAGCTTCATAAATGAGGGAGAGATGAATTCTTTTTCAGACAAACAAATGCTGGGGGAATTCGCCACTAACAAACCAATACTACAAGAAATGCTGAAAGGAGTTCTAAACCTTGAAACAAAGCTCAATGTGAACTAAGATAGAACCTCCTTAAAGCATAAATTTCAAAGGGCCTATAAGACAAAAACACAATGAACAAACAAAGTATTTAGGCAACAACTAACAAGATAAATAGAACAGTACCTTATATCTCAGTATTAAAGTTGAATGTAAGTGGCCTAAATGTCCCGCTTAAAAGATACAGAATGGCACAATGGACAAAAAAAAATCACCAACCAAATATCTGCTGACTTCAAGAGACTCACCTAACACACAAGCATTCCTATAAACTTAAGATAAAAGGGTGGAAAAAGATATTTCATGCAAATGTAAACTAAAAGCAAGCAAGAGTAGCTATTCTCATATCAGACTAAGTAGACTTTAAAGCAACAACAATAAAAAAAGAAAAGAAAGACAAAGAAGGGCATTATATAATGATAAAAGGATTAGTCCAACAGGAAGATATTACAATCCTAAATTTGTATGCATTCAACACAGGTGCTCCCAGATTTACAAGGCAATTACTACTAGACCTAAGAAGTAAGATAGACAGCAACACAATAATAGTGGGGGACCTCGATACTCCACTGATAGCACTAGACAGATCATCAAGACAGAGGGCCAATAAAGAAACAATGGACTTAAACTATACCCTAGAACAAATGGACTTAACAGATATTTACAGAACATTCTACCAAACAACTGCAGAATATACATTCTTCTAATCAGCACATGAAACATTCTCCAAGATAGACCATATGATAGACCACAAAACAAGTCTCAATAAATTTAAGAAAGTAGAAATCATATAAAGTATCTTCTCAGACCACAGTAGAATAAAACTGGAAATCAACTCCAAAGGGAACCCTCAAAACTATGCAAATACATGGAAATTAAATAATCTGCTCTTGAGTAATTTTTCAGCTAACAATGAAATCAAGATGGAAATGTAAAAATTATTTGAAATAAATGATAATAGTGACACAACTTACCAAAACCTATGGGATACAGCAAAAGTGGTGCTAAGAAAAAAGTTTATAGCTTTCAATGCCGACATCAAAACATCTGAAAGAGCACAAATAGACAATCTAAGGTTATACAATAAGGAACTACAGAAACAAGAACAAACTAAACCCAAACCCAGGAGAAAAAAAGAAATAACAAAGATAAGAGCAGAACTAAATGAAATTGAAAGAAAACAACAACAACAAAAACAAAAACAACACAATGGCTGGGTGCAGTAGTTCACGCCTGTAATCTCAGCACTTTGGGAAGCCAAAGCAGTCAGATCACTTGAGGTCAGGAGTTTGAGAAGAGCTTGGCCAGCATGGTGAAACTCATCTCCAAAAGAATATAAAATAATATTGTATTTTTTTGTAAAAATACAAAAATTATCCAGGCATGGTGGTGCACACCTGTCATCTCAGCTACTTGGGAGGCTGACAGGAGAATCACTTGAACCAGGGAGGCAGAGGTTGCAGTGAGTCGAGGTCATGCCACTGCACTCCAGCCTGTGTGACAGATGGAGACTCTGTCTCACAAAAAGAAAAAAATACAAAAGAGAAATGAAACGAAAAGCTGTTTCTTTATAAAGATAAACAAAATTGATAGACCTTTAGCAGGATTAACCAAGAAAAGAAGAGAAAAGAGTCAAATAAGCTCAATTAGAAAGAAACTGGAGATATTACAACCAATACCACAGAAATACAAAAGATGATTCAAAGGTACTATGAACAGCTTTATGCACACACACTACAAAATCTAGAGAAAATGGATAAATTCCTGGAAATATGCAAACCTCCTAGATTAAGTCAGGAATACATATAAATGCTGAACAGACCAATAACCAGCAGCAATATTGAATCAGTAATTTTTTAAATGCCAACAAAAAAGTTCAGGACCAGATGGATTCACAGCTGAATTCTGTCAGACATTCAAAGAATAATTGGTACAAATTCTACTGAAACTATTCCAAAAGATAAAGAGAATCTTCCCTAAATCATTTTATGAAGCCAGTATCACTCCAATACCAAAACCAGGAAAAAAATAACAAAAAAAGAAAACTACAGACCAATATCCCCAATGAATATAGATGTAAAAATCATCAACAAAATACTAGCTAACTGAATCCAACACCATATCAAACAGATAATACATCATGATCAAGTGGGTTTCATACCAGAGATGCAGGGATGGTTTAACATACACAAGTCAATAAATGTGATACATCACATAAACAGAAATTTTTTTAAAAAACCATATGATCATCTCAATATGCAGAGAAAGCATTTGATGAAATCCAGTAACTCTTTATGATTAAAAAAAAAATCTTAACAAAATAGACATAGAAGGGACTTACCTCAAAGTAATAAAAGCCATACAAGACAAACCCACAGCCAACATTATACTGAATAGGGAAAAGTTGAAAGCATTCCCCCTGAGAACAAGAGCAAGACAAGAATGCCCACTTTCACCACTTATATTCAACATAATACTGGAAGTCCTAGCCAGAGCAATTAGACAAGAGAAAGACAAGACAATCAAACAAGAAAATCAGACAAGAGAAACTATTGCTGCTTGTTGATTATATGATTGTATACCTAGAAAACCCTAAAGACTCACCCTGAAAGTTCTTTAGATTTGATAAATGAATTCAATAAAGTCTCAAGATACAAAATCAATGTACACAAATCAGTAGCACTGCTATACACCAACAATGACCATGCTGAGAGTCAAATCAAGAACTCAATCCCTTTTACAACAGCTGCCAAAAAAAAAAGAGTAAAATATGTAGAAATATACTTAACCAAGAAGGTGAAAGATCTCTACAAGGAAAACTACAAAACATTGATGAAATAAATCATAGAGGACCCAAATGGAAACACATCCCATGCTCATGGATGGGAAGAATCAATATTGTGAAAATGACCATACTGCCAAAAGCAATCTACACATTCAATGCAATTCCCATAAAATGCCATTGTCATTCTTCATAGAACTAGAAAACAATACTAAAATTCATACATGAACAAGAAAAGAACCTGCATAACCAAAGCAATACTAAGCAAAAGGAAAAAATCTGGAGGCATCACATTACCCAATGTCAAATTATACTACAAAGCTATAGTTACCTAAACAGCATGGTACTGGTATAAAAATAGGCATGTCAGCCAATGGAACAAAATAGAGAACCTATAAATAAAGCCAAATACTTAGAGCTAGCTGATCTTCAACAAGCATATAAAAACATAAATTGGGGAAAACATACCCTATTCAACAAACGGTGCTGGGAAAACTGGCAAGCCACATGTAGAAGAATGAAACTGAATCCCATCTCTCACCTTACACAAAAATCAACTCAAGATGGATCAAAAACTTAAATCTAAACCTGAAATTATAAAAATTCTAGAAGATAACATTGGAAAAATTCTTTTAGACATTGGCTTAGGCAAATAATTCATGACTAAGACCCCAAAAGCAAATACAACAAAATCAAAAATAAATAGTTGGAACCTAATTAGACTTAAAAGCTTTAGCACAGCAAAGGAAATAATCAACAGAGTAAACAGACAACCCACAGGGTGGGATAAAATATTCACTAACTATGCATCCAACAAAGGATTAATATCCAGAATCTACAAGGAACTCAAACCAGTAAGGAAAAAGCAAACCCATTAAAAAATGGGCAAAGGACATGAATAGACGATTCTCAAAAGAAGATATACAAACCGCCAACAAACATATGAAAAAGTGCTCAACCAGGAAGAAATTGATAGCCAGAAGAGACCAATAATGAGCTCTGAAATTAAATCAGCAATAAATAGCCTACCAACAACAACAAAAAAAAACACCAGGACCTAATGAATTCATAGCCAAACTCTACCAGATGTACAAAGAAGAGCTGGTACCATTCCTACGGAAACTATTCCAAAAAATTGAGGAGGAGAAACTTCTCCCCAACTCATTCTATGAGGCCAGGATCATCTTGATACCAAAACCTGGCAGAGACACACACAAAAAGGAAAACTTCGGGCCAATATCCTTGATGAACATTGATGCAAAAGGTCTCAACAAAATGCTTGCAAACTGAATCCAGTAGCATATCAAAAAGTTAATCCAGGCTAAGCGCAGTAGCTCAGTCTCTACTAAAAACACAAAAACAAAATTAGCCAGGCATGGTGGCGGGCACCTGTAGTCCCAGTTACTCGGGAGGCTGAGGCAGGAGAATGGCATGAACCCGGGAGGCAGAGCTCTCAGTGAGCAGAGATCACGCCACTGCACTCCAGCCTGAGCAACAAAGCGAGACTCCATCTCAAAAAAAAAAAAGAAATTAGCTGGACGTGGTCAGGGGTACCTCTAATCCCAGCTACTCAGGAGGCTGAGGCAGGAGAATTGCTTGAACCCAGGAGGTGGAGGTTGCAGTGAGCCGAGATCATGCCACTGCACTCCAGCCTGGGTGACAGAGCGAGACTCTATCTCAAAAAAAAAAAAAAAAAAAAAGGTAATCCACCATGATCAAGTAGGCTCCATCCCCAGGATGAGAAGTTGGTTCAACATACTCAAATCAATGAATGTGATTAATCACATAAACAGAACTAAAGACAAAAACCACATGATTATCTCAATAGATGCAGAAGAAAAGGCTTTTGACAAAATTCAACACCCCTTCCTGTTAAAAACACTCGATAAACTAAGTATTGAAGGAAGATACCCCAAAATGGTAAGAGCCATCTATTACAAACCCACAGCCAACATTATATTGAATGGGCAAAAGCTGGAAGAATTCCCCTTGAAAAGTGGCACAAGACAAGGATTTCCTTGCCCTCTCTCACCACTTCTATTCAAAATAGTATTGGAAGTCCTAGCCAGAGCAATCAGGCAAGGGAAAGAAATCAAGGGCATAAAATAGGAAGAGAGGAAGTCAAACTACCTCTGTTTGCAAACGACATGATTTTATACCTAGAAAACCCCATAGTTTCAGCTCCAAAAGTACCTCCAGCTGATAAACAACCTCAGCAAAGTTGCAGGATACATAATCAATATAAAAATCACCAGCATTCCTATACACCAACAACAGCCAAATCAGAAAAGCCATCCCATTCACAACTGCCACAAAAAGAATAAAATACTTAGGAATACAGCTAACCAGGGAGGTGAAAGATCCTCTGCAAAGAGAATTACAAAACATTACTCAAAGAAATCAGAGAAGATACAAACAAATGGAAAAAAATTCCGTGCTCATGGATAGGAAGAATCAGTATCATTAAAATGGCTATACTGTCCAAAGCAAATTATAGATTCAATGCTATTCCTATAAAACTACCAATTACATTCTTCACAGAACAGGAAAAAAACTATTTTTAAATTCACATGAAACCAAAAAAGAGCCCAAATAGTCAATGCAATCCTAAGCAAGAGGAACAAAGCTAGAGGCATCACATCACCTGACTTCAAACTATATTACAAGGCTACAGTAACCAGAATAGCATAGTACTGGTGAAAATGCAGGCACATAAACCAAAGGAACAGAATAGAGAGCTCAAAAATAAGGTCGCATATGTACGACCATCTGATCTTTGACAAAAATGACAAAAGCAAGCAATGGGGAAAAGACTCCCCATTCAATAAATGGTGCTGGGATAACTGGCTAGCCATATGCAGAAGATTGATACTGGACCCTGACATCATATACAAAAATTAACTCAACATGGATTAAAGACTTAAATGTAAAACCCAAAACCATAAAAACCCTGGAAGACAACCTAGGCAATACCATCCTGGACACAGGAAAATTGACAAATGGTATCTAATTAAACTTAAGCGCTCCTGAACAGCAAAAAAAATTATCAACAGAGTAAACAGACAACTTACAGAATGGGAGAAAATATTTGCAAACTAAGCATCTGACAAAGTCTAATATCCAGCATCTATAAGGAACTTAAACAAATTTATGAGAGAAAAACAACCCCATTAAAAAGTGGGCAAAGGACATGAACAGATGCTTCTCAAAAGAAGACATACATGCAGCCAACAAGCATATTTAAAAAGCTCAGCATAACTGATCATTAGAGAAATGCAAATCAAAACCACAACGATATACCATCTCACACCAGTCTGAATGGCTACGATTAAAAAGTCAAAAAATAACACAGGCTGGTGAGGTTGCAGAGAAAGGAACACTTACACACTGTCAGTGAAAGTGTAAATTAGTTCAACCATTGCGGAAGGCATTATGGCAATTCCTCAAAGAGCTAAAAGCAGAACTACAATTCGACCTGGCAATCCCATTACTGAGTATATACCCAGAGGAATATAAATCCTTCTACCATAAAGACACATGTACACAAATGTTCATTGCAGCACTATTCACAATAGCAAAGACATGGAATCAACCTAAATGTCCATCAATGACAGATTGGTTACAGAAAATGTGGTACATATACAACATGGAATACTACGCAGCCATAAAAAAGAATGAGACTATGTCTTTTGTGGGAACGTGGATGGAGCTGGAGGCTATTATCCTTAGCAAACTAATGCAGAAACAGAAAACTAAATACTGTATATTCTCACTTACAAGTGGGAGCTAAATGATAAGAACTTATGTACACAAAGAAGGAAATAACAGACACTGGGTTATACTTGAAGAGGGAGCATGAGAGGAGGGAGAGGAGCAGAAATATAACATTGGGTGCTTGGCTTAATACCTGGATGAGGAAATAATATGTACAAAAACCCCGGTGACACATGTTTACCTATGTAGCAAACCTTCACATGTACCCCCAAACCTAAAATAAAAGTTTAAAAAATAATAATAAATTGTAAAATAGTCATAAAATAAAAAACCGAAAGAAGAGCATAACTACTGCTATTTGCAACAGCTTGAATGAATGTCGTGAACATATTAAGTAAAAATACTCGACAATAAATAAAAAAGAAAAAGTGCTTGACACCACTAATCATCTGGGAAATGATTATTTAAACCACCTTACTCCTGCAATAATTGCCATAAGTAAAAAGTCAAAAATGTGGTGAAAAGGGAACACTTTTACACTACTGCTGGAGATGTAAGTTAATACAACCACTCTGGAAAACAGTATGGAGATTACTTAAAGAAATAAAAGTAGAGCTACCATTCCATCCAGAAATCCCACTACTGGGTATCTACCCAGAGGAAAAGAAGTCATTATATGAAAAAGACACTTGCACACGCATGGTTATAGCAACAAAATTTGCAATTGCAAAGATATGGAACCAACCTAAGTGCCCATCGACAAACAAGTAGATGAAGAAAATGTGGTATATACATAGCAAGGAATACTTCTCAGCCATACAAAGGAATGAAATAATGTCTTTTGCAGCAACTTAGATGGAGCTGGAGGCCATTATTCTAAGTGAAGTAACTCAAGAATGGAAAACCAAACATCAAATTTCCTGCTTATAAGTGGGAGCTAAGCTATGAGGACCCAAAGACACAAGAATGATATAATGGACTTTGAGGACTCAGCGGGGAAGGCTGGAAGGGGGTAAGGGGTAAAAGACTATATACTGGGTACAGTGTACACTGCTCAGGTGACAGGTGCCCTAAAATCTCAGAAATCACCACCAAATAACATATCCTTGTAACCAAGAACCACCTGTACCCCAAAAACTATTGAAATAAAATTGTTTTTAATGGCTCATCATTTTAATTTAATTTAAAAGAAAATCATGTTGCATTTTTAAAGTTTATTTTCAGGAAAACATTGACCATGACTTTATCTTCATTCCATGAAGGTTCAATGAGAGGGTAATGATTATAAAAATAGTGGCTATGTCCAAACAATATCTGGATGATTGGTATCACGAGCTGGTACTTTTCCAAAATATTTCTGAAAACTGGGCTAAGGCCCACGGCTTGATGAAAACAAAAAAATGTTGATCTTTTAGGGACTTTAATTCCAAATAAGGGCTTTGATTTATAATAAGGATATTGCAAAAATTTATATTATCTTGAACAGCAGTTAGCTTCTCAATGAATATGTTCATATTTTCTAGGAGAAAAGAGTTTTGCCTTATAATCAACTTTAAAACAAATACTTCTTGAAAGAAACCTGCAAAAATATTTTGAGTCACATGAAAACCTCAATAATAAACAGGCAAATGGTACAATAATGTGGTTTACATTCTCCTGGTAAACATGCTAGGGATGGGCCAAGGGCACTGAAAATGTGTAAATATTCACAATGAGCTCATTCCTCCCACCAAGAATTCTTGGACCACTGTCTACAACTTCAGGAAATGCATGGAAACTGATTCCTGAGGCTGGCAAAACTGCTTCTAAGGTCAACCTCTTCAGAGTCCATACACATAACTCCAGAGCATCTTCCTTAGCAGCAAATGGGCTCTGGGGTCTGCAGACAGATGCTTGCACCAGTGACATTCTGTTTCTTCTTTCTTCCTGTCCCTGTTCTTTCTCTAGCCCTCTCTCTTTCCAATTCTTTTGTCTCTTACTATTAGTATCTTCAGAGACAAAATATTGCCATGATATTCTTGCAATGATAGGGACAAATACCTGCACTAGTCAAATAATGGAGCCATTAGCATATTGCTTGGACTTATATTATCCAGATCATTGCCTCGGGAATTCACTTGCAGACAGCCATAGGCTTTACAGCTCAGAGGTTTAGAGCCACAACTTCCAAGTTGTAGTTTTTTCCCCAGTGCTTCACCAAAATTAGAGAACAATGCATTTTTCTCCAGTAAAGTGGTTCTCAAAGTATGGTCCAGGGACTCTGGGGGTCTCCAAGATCCTTTCAAGAGATTCATGAAGTCAAAACTATTTTCATGATAACACTAAGACATTATTTGTCTCATCCTCTTATGAGTCTAGAGTGGAATTTTCCAGAGGCTACATGATGAGTGACGTCACGACAGATTGAGTACAGAGCCAACTATGAGAATCCAGCTGCCTTCTATTAAGGTAGGCATTAAAAATATTTTAAAAATGTAAAACAATGCCATTCTTCTCCCTAAATAGCCTTTATTTTGGAAAATGTAGTTATTTTTATGAAAATATTTTATTTATATTAACATGTAATGGTTTGTTATTATTTTTAAATAAATTAATGTTAATTTTTAGATTTATTTGTTTTAATTTCTAAAAGGATATATATCAATAGCTATGATCCACATAAACAAAAGCCATTTGGGATCCTCAATTATTTTTAAGAATGTCAAAGAGGCATGACACCAGAAAAATTGATTACTGCTTTTCTAGTACAATTTAAAACAAACAATTTCATTAAATGGGCTTATTTTATTTTGGCCTTGTCTGATAGAATCTCTTTGGGGCTAGATGTGGCAGCTTTGTAAGGTGTCCAGTTGGCCAGGCTGAACCACATTCCCACTGTTGCCTTTCTCGTGTGTTTCTGGCCAGAGGGAGCCAAAGAAAGGCTCTAGTGCAGTATTTGAAGCAGAGACATGAAGCAGCCACCATCTTGTAACTCACCTTATAATATCTGCTTCCAAGAAATAGCCACTTCAAGGCATTCACATGCCCTTGGCATTCACTCCTCATCTGCGGATGCACCTCCTTGGTGTGAGGAACAGCCAGGCCTCCTGCTGCTCCACCTTCCCCCCAATCCTCCTTCAGCTTCTCTGACTGCTGGGCCAGCTGTGTGTGATGAAAGACCTGGCTTCTCCAGGACATGCAGACCATCAAGGGCAGAGAGAACACAAGAAAGAGTCTGAGTTTCTATCTGTTCTCCCGGGCTCCAGCTGATGCATTTCAGCTCCTTCTTGCTCTCCCCATTTCATATTCATCTTATTTTCCAGGTACCCTTTCTGTGGATACCTTCAAGTTCCAGCACCAAATATGAAGGCGACTGCCATCACCAGCTCCCACCCCTACATGAGGTCAAATCCCTGGATGGCATATAACACACTAGAGCAATTAAGAGGATCTAACTAAAGGTGGGGAAGGAAAAATGTGTGTACAGAGACAGGAAGTCATGGACACAGTTATATTGAAAGATACAATGACCTCCTCCTCCTCCTCATTGTGATATTATCACGCCTTTCCACACTTGGGCTTCTGAGATTGTTACACTGGAAGTCTGCCCTAACTACAGGGTCACATGTAGAACTGCGTCCACAAAGAGGCAGATTGATTGTGGGATGGTTTCTTTTTTTTTTTTTTTTAATTTATTTTTTTATTGATAATTCTTGGGTGTTTCTCACAGAGGGGGATTTGGCAGGGTCATGGGACAATAGTGGAGGGAAGGTCAGCAGATAAACAAGTGAACAAAGGTCTCTGGTTTTCCTAGGCAGAGGACCCTGCGGCCTTCCGCAGTGTTTGTGTCCCTGATTACTTGAGATTAGGGATTGGTGATGACTCTTAACGAGCATGCTGCCTTCAAGCATCTGTTTAACAAAGCACATCTTGCACCGCCCTTAATCCATTTAACCCTGAGTGGACACAGCACATGTTTCAGAGAGCACAGGGTTGGGGGTAAGGTCACAGATCAACAGGATCCCAAGGCAGAGGAATTTTTCTTAGTGCAGAACAAAATGAAAAGTCTCCCATGTCTACTTCTTTCTACACAGACACGGCAACCATCCGATTTCTCAATCTTTTCCCCACCTTTCCTGCCTTTCTATTCCACAAAGCCGCCATTGTCATCCTGGCCCGTTCTCAATGAGCTGTTGGGCACACCTCCCAGACGGGGTGGTGGCCGGGCAGAGGGGCTCCTCACTTCCCAGTAGGGGCGGCCGGGCAGAGGCGCCCCTCACCTCCCGGACGGGGCGGCTGGCCGGGCGGGGGGGCTGACCCCCCACCTCCCTCCCAGATGGGGCGGCTGGCCGGGCGGGGGGTTGACCCCCCCCCCACCTCCCTCCCGGACGGGGTGGCTGCCGGGCGGAGATGCTCCTCACTTCCCAGATGGGGTGGCTGCCGGGCGGAGAGGCTCCTCACTTCTCAGACGGGGTGGTTGCCAGGCAGAGGGTCTCCTCACTTCTCAGACGGGGCGGCCAGGCAGAGACGCTCCTCACCTCCCAGACGGGGTCTCGGCCAGGCAGAGGCGCTCCTCACATCCCAGATGGGGCGGCGGGGCAGAGGCGCTCCCCACATCTCAGACGATGGGCGGCCAGGCAGAGACGCTCCTCACTTCCTAGATGTGATGGCGGCTGGGAAGAGGCGCTCCTCACTTCCTAGATGGGATGGCGGCCGGGCGGAGACGCTCCTCACTTTCCAGACTGGGCAGCCAGGCAGAGGGGCTCCTCACATCCCAGACGATGGGCGGCCAGGCAGAGACACTCCTCACTTCCCAGACGGGGTGGCGGCCGGGCAGAGGCTGCAATCTCGGCACTTTGGGAGGCCAAGGCAGGCGGCTGGGAGGTGTAGGTTGTAGTGAGCCGAGATCACGCCACTGCACTCCAGCCTGGGCACCATTGAGCACTGAGTGAACGAGACTCCGTCTGCAATCCCGGCACCTCGGGAGGCTGAGGTTGGCGGGATCACTCACGGTTAGGGGCTGGAGACCGGCCCGGCCAACACAGCGAAACCCCGTCTCCACCAAAACCAGTCAGGCGTGGCGGCGCGTGCCTGCAATGGCAGGCACTCGGCAGGCTGAGGCAGGAGAATCAGGCAGGGAGGTTGCAGTGAGCCGAAATGGCAGCAGTACAGTCCAGCTTCGGCTCCGCATGAGAGGGAGACCGTGGGGAGAGGGAGACAGAGGGAGAGGGAGAGGGAGAGGGAGAGGGAGAGACCGGATCCGATTGTGGGATGGTTTCATGGGCATATATTTATCTCCAAATTCATCAGATTGTATACATTAATTAAATACAGTTTTTGTGCTACAATTATACCTCAATAAAGTGAGAGCTTTTTTCAAAAGAGAGGGGAAGAAGGCTGGGCTCATTTGAAACAATGGCTCAGGCTGTCACACCTGGAAGCACATTTGTTATCAGGCCAAGGAAGTTGGAGAAAAGACCTTCATGGCATCATTCTGGCCATCTGTGTAAGACAAACAGCCAGCCTCCTAGCTGGGGATAAATGGCAAGTGTGCCTGCATACATTCCGCTTCCCTGTCATTCTTCCCTTTAATTTCAGTTTGTTTTTCAAGTATTTGTTGAATTCCATGCCCTCCATGTGACCAGCACTGGGTTGGATTCCATGGGCAAATACATATATTTTTGTACTTGGGGTATTCGTTAGTTACCTATTGCTGCATAACAAATTACCTCCAAAACTTAGCAACTAAAAGAAACAATTATCTATTAACTCACAAAGTTCCTGACAGTCAAAAATCTTGGAGTGGTTTATTTGGGTCTTTCTGACTCAGGCTGTCTTATGAGGTTTCAGTCAAGTTGTTGGCCAGGACTGCAGTTATCTGAAGGCTTGACTAGGGCTGGAAGATCTGCTTCCAAGAAACAGCCACTTCAAGTCATTCACATGCCATTGGTAAGAGGCCTCAGTTTCTCATTATGTTGACTCCCCCATAGGTAATATGGTTGGCGTGTGCATGCCCTCCAAATCTCATGTTGAAATGTGATCCCCGATGTTGGAGGTGGACCTGGTGAAAGGTGTTTGGGTCATGGAGGTGGATCCCTCATGAATGGCTTAGTGCCCTCCTTGCAGTAATGAGTAAGTTCTCACTCAATTTCACATAAGATGTGGTCACTTCAAAGAGCCAGGCAGCTCTCTCCTCCCTTTCTCTTGCTCCCTCTCTCAACATGTGACACGCTGCTCCCTCTTCACATTCCACCATCATTAGAAGCTTGCTGAGGCCCTCACCAGAAGCAGATGCCAACACCATGTTTCCTGTACATCCTGCAGAATCATGAGCCAAAATAAACCTCTTTTCTTTATAAATTACCCAGCTTCTGGTATTTCTTTATAGCAACACAAGTGGACTAACACAGAAAATTGTTACCGAGGAGTGGGATGTTGCTATAAAGATACTTGAAGATGTGGAAGCAGCTTTGAAGCTGGGTAACAGACAGACACTAGAAGAGTTTGGAGGGCTCAGAAGAAGACAGGAAGACAAGAGAAAGTTTGGAACTTCTTAGAGACTGGTTAACTGGTTGTGATCAAGGTACTGATAGAAATATAGACAGTGTTTTTCCAACAAGAAACTATAAGAACAAACAAAATTAAAAAAAAAAAAGAAATATAGATAGTGAAGGCCAAGCTGATAAGGTCCCAGACAAAAATGAAGAAGTTACTGGGAGCTAGAGCAAAGGTCACCCTTATTGTACCCTAGCAAAGAGCTTTGCTTCATTGTGTCCATGTCCTACAGTTTTATGAAAGGTTGAACTTAAGAGTGATGACTTAGCATATCTGGCAGAAGAAATTTCTAAGCAGCAAAGCATTCAAGATTTGCCCTAGCTTCTTCTAACAATCTAAGATAAGATATGGAAGCAGAGGAAAAACTGAAGTTGGAACTTGTCATTATAAGGGAAGCATAGTGTAAAAATTTGGAAAATCTGCAGCCTGGCTATGTGGTAGAGAAGAAAAGAGCATTTTCAGGGGAAGAATCCAAGCAGGCTAAGGAACAACCACTTTTTAGAGAGACTAACGTAGCTGCAAGAGAACCAAGTGCTAATAGTCAAGACAACAGAAAAAAGTGCTTGAAGGCATTTCAGAATCTCTGAGGCAGACCCTCCCATCACAGACCTAGAGGCCCAGGAGGAAAGAATAGTTTCCGGGGCCAGGCCCAGGGCTCCGTTGCCCTGCTCCCAGAATCCTGGTAGTTCCATCAACAGCCTCAGTGAAAAGGACCACAGATACAGTTCAGGCCACAACTCCAAATGGCACAAGCCATAAACCTTGGTGGCTTCCACATGGTGTTAAGCCTGCAGATGTGCAGAATGCAGAAGTGAAGGAGGCTTGGAAGCTTCCTCCTAGATTTCAGAGGATGTATTGGAAAGCCTGAGTGCCCAGGCAGATGCCTGCAACAGGGGTGGATACCCCACAGAGAGACTCTACTGAAGAAGTGCTGAAGGGAAATATGGGGTTGGAGCCCCCACACAGAGTCTCCACCACCAGGACACTGGTTAGTGGAGCTGTGAGAAAGCAGCCACTGCCCTCCAGACCGGAAAATGGTACAGCCATCAGCAGCTTACACCCAGAGCCTAGAAAAGCTCCAGGCATTCAACTCCAACCCATGAGAGCAGCCAGAGGGGTTGCACCCTGCAAAATCACAGTGGCAGAACTACTAGGGCCTTGGGAACCCACACCTTGCACCACTGTGCCCAGCATGTTGGACGTGGTGTCAAGGAAGATTATGTTGGAGCTTTAAGGTTTAATGTCTCTCCTGCTGGGTTTCAGACTTGTGTGGGTCATGTTGCCCCTTTCTTTTGGCCAATTTTTTTCCTTTTGGAATGGAAATCTTCACCCAATACCTGTTCCATCATTGTATCTTGTAAGTAAATAACTTGTTTTTATAATTTTACAGGCTCATAGGTAGAAAAAAACTTGCCTTGAGTCCCTGATGAGACTTAGGACTTTGAACTTGAGACTGTTGAGTTAATGCTGGAATAAGTTAAGACTTTGGGGGACTATTGAGAAGGGATTATTGTTTTCTGCCATGTGAGAGAACATGAGATTTGGAGGGCTGGGGGCAGAATGATATGGTTTGTCCCCTCCAAATCCTCCCATGTTGAAATGTGATCCCCAGTGTTGAAGGTGGGCCTAGTGGGAGGGTTTGAATCTTGGGGTTGGATCCCTCATGAATGGCTTAGTGTCCTCCTCACAGTAATGAGTGAGTTCTCACTCTGATTTCACACAAGATCTGGTTGTTTAAAAGAGTGTGGCACCCTTTTTGTCTCTTGCTCCATCTCTCATCATGTGACACGTTGCCCCCCGCCTTCACTTTCTGCTATAATCAGAAGCTCCCTGAGGCCCTCACCAAAAGTAGATGCTGGCACCATGCTTCCTGTACAGCCTGCAGAACCATGAGCTACATAAACATCTTTTCTTTATAAATTACCCAGCCTCTGGTTTTCTTTATAGCAATGCAAGTAGACTAACATGATAGACTTTTAATGAAATGGCAGCTGGCTTCTCCCAGAGCAAGTGATCAGAAAGAGAGAGAGAAAAAAAAAAACAAGACAGAAGCAGCAGAGTCTTTTATAGCCTAGAATAAAAAGTGATATGTCATCACTCCTGCCATATTCTATTGGTCACACAGAACAATCCAGAAAGTAACCCACAGGGGCATGAATCTTTGGAGGTGGGAATCTTGGGAGGTTGGGAACCACCATGGAGGCTGTCTACCATCAGGAACTCATCATCTTATGACCCAGGAAAAGATAGAACAATGAACACGTAATCCTCAAGCAGCCAAATTAATTCATCTTTATTCATTGGTTCATTTTATTTTCATGGAAAAAATTAATGTGATGTCAGCAAGGAGGTATTATTTCTTTTATGTGGATGAGAAAAATGAAGCAAAAACAATCTTTTACTTGCCCAGAGTAACCAGGTAATGATGCAGCTGAGACCAGATCTTGAACGTTTAGTTGACTGGGTTTTCCCCCTCTGCTTTTCCATTACAGAGTGAGGCAATGAGGGTTCAGAATGAAGTTCCCCATAGGATGGAATAAAGAATGACTTGCAGGCAAGAGATAAAGAGAGGGTTTCTGCCATTTCAGGAGAATTTCCTACATGATCCTCCTCCATGATTTTCAGATTAGTAGTTTTCAAATAAAGCCCTTTCTCTCTATCCTGAACAAGGTGTCCTGCTGCTAAAATTAAATTATGCCAATTTCTTACCAAGTACTCATACATATACAATATGGATAAAATTTTCTTTATTTTAAGTTTTTCTCTCCTAAATTTTTCTTAAATTTAGAAGCTTGGTACCAATTATCCACTGAGAACTGGTAGAAAACAAAATGAATAAAGAACAAATGACTAGTAGAAAAAAACCTACACAGACAATATGTTCAGTTAATACTTTGTGGCATTTTGAATGTATTTTCACATGCACTTAAGATTATTTCACATTATGCAAATATATTTTCATAATTATTCCTAACTTGTGTGTCTCATTAAATGAATTGATATTTCCAATGTCTTACCAAGGCATACTGTGACCCTTATCTGGAGGTTAGCTTCCTGAACAAAATCAATAGCACTGAAGATGAGATTCATTCTAATTCACCATCTCTTCTGGTCATTATAATTCTGATCTTTGTCTTCCATAAAAATATATATTGGAGGAAAACAATTTTTAATGTTCTGCCCTGGAAAATACAGACTAGGAAAATATCTTCCTAGTGGCACCCAGTCAGCTTAATTTTCTGGGGCCACTATGCTCTCCTCTTAGTGAGACATCTAAGAGGAAGAAGAGTCTTCCCTCATACCTGGAAATTCTTTCTCTTCCCCTCTGATAGCGTGCGCAAACTTGACGTTAGCAATGCCTATGGTGCTATTCACCTCTCCAGGGTAGGAATCCTTCATCCATAGCCTCCCACAGTACCTTGTCATAGAGAAGTGGTAAATAATTTTCTGTTGAATGAATGACTGGCTCAGAAGTCTCAGAAGACCTAATTCAGTTCCCAGGGCTTTCTCATCACAGCTTTCCTCAGCCAAGGATCCACAGGAGAATTAACCTACAGGCAAGTTGCAGAATGCAAGGTAATAATTTTTTTTAAAAGTTAATTGCTTTCTTACATAGCAACAATGAACACTGAAATTGAATATTAAAAACACAATATTGTTTTTATTATCATCAAAAAGTGAAGTCCTTGGGTATAAATCTGTAATGGAAATGGCACAGCAAAGGTTGCCATGTTTAGGCATTAGAAATAGAACACCACACTCAAATTGCTCAAGCCAGTGGCCAGAGATAAAAACTTATAGGTATCTCTCCTGCCTAGCAGCCTGGGCTCTCTGTTTTTTCTGCTGCTTCCTTTAAGCAGATGAGCCTTCAATCTGAATTTGTGCCTTCCATCTGAAGAACCAAGGGCTACCCCAGGCTGGGTTTTCCATGGGAAACTGAGGAGAACACAAGGTTGGGCTCGCAGCACCAAAGCAATAGTCAGGTAGGCATAAATTGGACAAGGTCAAACAAGAACCACAAGGTCATCTGCTAAGGTAAACAAGTTTCCTGTGTGAGGGACACTGTTCATAGGTCAGAAAATGAGGCATTAGGCTGTCTACCAGGTAAAATAAGTATCGCATGAAAGGCACACTATAAACACCCCCATCTACTACCCTTCATTTCTTGTTAGGGTAGAGTTACTAGCCACTGTGGTACTGGAACACCAATTTAGCTAGGGGCTTTCAAAACAAAACCTAACAAAATATGTACAAGACCTATATGAATTGCACAAAAACTACAAAACTATGATGAAAGTCAAAGAATACCTAAATAAATGGAGAGATATTTCATGTACATAAATAGAAAGATTTAATATTGTCAAAATGTCAGTTCTTCCCAACTGATCTATAGATTCAACATAATCCCAATTACAATCTCAGCAAGCTATTGTGTGGATAATAACAATAAGACTCTAAAGTTTATATGGAGGGGCAAGAGACCCAGAATAGCCAAGACAATATTATAAAACAGCAAAGCTGAAGGACACAAACTAATTTCAAGACTTACTATAAAGCTAAAGTAATAAAAACAATATGGTATTGGCAGAAGAAGAAATAAATAGATCAGTGGAACAGAATCCAGATCCCAGAAACAGACCCACGTAAATACAGTCATCTGATCTTTAACAAAGGAGCAAAAACATTTCAGTGAAGAAAGGATAGTGTTTTCAACAAATTAGGTTGAAACAATAGGACATTCACAGGAAAAATAAGGATCCAGACATAGGCCTTACACTTTTTACAAAAATTAACTCAAAATGGATCATAGGCCTAATTGTAAAATGCTAAATTATAAAATTCCTAGAAGGTAATATAGAAGAAAACCTAAGTGTCCTTGGATTTAGTGTTTAGATGCCACACCAAAGACACAATCCATGAAAGAGAACATTGATAAGTTGGACTTCAGTAAAATCAAAAATATAAGCTTTGCAAAAGATCATGACAATAAAAAAAATCACAGACTAGAAAAAACATTTGCAAAACATATATCTGTTAAAGGACTGGTATCCAAAGTATACAAAGGCCTCTTAAACTCAATAATGAGACAATAAACAACCCAACTGAAAATTAGGCCACAGATCTGAACAGACACTTCACTGAAGAAGATACACAGATAGCAAATAAGCATATGAAAATATGTCCAACATTATATGTCATTAAGGAAGTTTTTAAAAAGCAATTAAGGCCAGTCGCAGTGGCTCACGCCTGTAATCCCAGCACTTTGGGAGCCTGAGGCGGGCGGATCACAAAGTCAGGAGTTTGAGACCTGCCTGACCAACATGGTGAAACCCCGTCTCTACTAAAAATACAAAAATTAGCCGGGCATGGTGGCATGCACCTGTAATCCCAGCTACTCAGGAGGCTGTGGCAGGGGAATCTCTTGAACCCAGGAGGCGGAGGTTGCAGTGAGCCGAGATCACCCCATTGCACTCCAGCCTGGGCGACAGAGTGAGACTCTGTCTCAAAAAAAAAAAAAAAAAAAAGCAATTAAAACAATGAGATACTATACTACTGCATATCTATTAGAATGGCTAAAAGTAAAAACACTGAAGGTGTTAGTGACATCAGTAAGATGTCAGAATAGGAAGTTTTCAGCTTTATTTCCCATCACACGAAGTCCAACTAGCAACTACTCACAGACAGGAACACCTTTGTGACAATCCCGGAGCCTAGGGGTGAGGCTGAGACACTCCACCTAATTGTGGGGTCCAACCATTGGCATCACCTTGCCAGGGACCACAGCCTGCAACCCCACAACCAGCGGCAATTGTGAAGCCCAGTTAGTGGCACCACACAACCAAGAAGCCCAGCCAGCAACCTGCCTGAACTCAGAGCCCAGCCAGCAGCCTTGCCTGACTACAAGCCCTGCTAGCAGACCCACCTGACTTCAGAGTCCATCCAGCAGCCACCCAAGCTCAGAGTACAGACAGTGGTCCTGCCCAGCTAGAGAATTAACAGCAAGCCCCACCTGCCCAGTGACACTACCAACTGGTCTGTCCAGACCCCAGGTTGGACCAAATGGTTAAGGTATATCCCTACCAAAGTGAATTTGTAAAGGCCAGACAAGGCAAGCACTTCCACAAATGCACAGAAACAAACACAAGAATATGAAAATTGGAAAGAGTCAGGGAATATGACACCATCAAAGGAAACTAATAAAGCTCCAATACCTGAAAGGGATGGAGATCTATAGACAGTCTAACAAATAATTCAGAATAATCCTCTTAGGAAAGTTTGATGAACTACAGGAAAACATAAATAGATAGCTAAACAATATTCAGAAAAACAACACATGAACAAAATGAGTAGTTCAACAAAGAAACAAAAGACAACATAAATTTTTTTAAATCCCAAATAGAAATCCCGCAGATTAGGAATGCAATGACTGAACTGAAAAGGTCAATAGAGAACTTCAACAGCAGACTCAATCAAGCACAATAAAGAATCAGAAGACAAGAAGATAGGTCATTTGAAATGATCTGATCAGAGGGCAAAAGGAAAAAAAACAAAAAGCAGTGAAGAAAGCCTACAAGATTTATGGGACACAACCAAGAGAAACAAATTTGCATTATAGAAATTCCAGGAGAAGATGGAGAGAGAAAAGGACAGAATGTGTTTTTAAAAATAATGACTGGCCAGTTGCAGTGGCTCACACCTGTAATCCCAGCACTTTGGGAGGCCAAGGCAGGAGGATCACTTGAGGTCAGGTGTTCAAGACCAGCCTGGTGAAACCCCATTTCTACTAAAAATACAAAAATTAGCCAGGCATGGTGGTGCTCACCTGTAGTCCCAGCTACTTGGGAGGCTGAGGCAGGAGAACCGCTTGAATCTGAAAGGCAGAGGTTGCAGTGAGCCGAGATTATGCAATTGCACTCCAGCCTGGGTGACAGAGTGAGACTCTGTCTCAAAAATAAATAAATAAATAAATAAATAAGGCCAAAACCATATCCAGAAAATTGAAACTGGATCCCTTCCTTACACATTATACAAAAATTAACTCAAGATGGATTAAAGACTTAAATTTAAAACCCAAAACTATAAAAATCCTAGAAGAAAATTTGAGCAATACTATTCAGGACATAGGCATGGGCAAAGATTTTATGATGAAATCACCAAAAGCAATTGCAACAAAAGCAAAAATTGACAAATGGGATCTAATTAAACTAAAGAGCTTCTGCATAGCAAGTGAAACTATCATCACAGTGAACAGACAACCTACGGAGTGGGAAAAAAATGTGTGCAATCTATCCATCTGAAAAAGGTTTACTATCCAGAATCTATGAGGAGCTTAATCAAATTTACAAGAAAAAAACAAACAACCCAATTAAAAAGTGGGCAAAGAATATGAACAGATACTTCTCAAAAGAAGACATTTATGCAGTCAACAAACATATGAAAACAGCTCAACATCACTGATCATCAGAGAAATGCAAATGAAAAGCACAGTGAGATACCATCTCATGTCAGTCAGAATGGTAATTATTAAAAAGTCAAGAAACAATAGATGCTGGCAAGGCTGTGGAGAAATAGGAACACTTTTATGCTGTTGGTGGGAATGTAAATTAGTTCAACCATTGTGGAAGACAGTGTGGTGATTCCTCAAGAATCTACAGGCCAGACACGGTGGCTCATGCCTGTAATCCCAGCACTTTGGGAGGCCAATGCAGGTGGATCACAAGTTCAGGAGATTGAGACCATCCTGACTAACACAGTGAAACCCCATCCCTACTAAAAATACAAAAAAAATTAGCCAGGCGTGGTGTTGGGCGCCTGTGGTCCCAGCTACTTGGGAGGCTGAGGCAGGAGAATGGCATGAACCCAGGAGGCAGAGCTTGCAGTGAGCCGAGATCGCGCCACTGCACTCTAGCCTGGGCAACAGAGTGAGACTCCGTCTCAAAAAAAAAAAAAAGAATCTAGAACCAGAAATACCATTTGACCCAGCTGTCTCATCACTGGATACATACCCAAAGTGATATAAATCATTCTACTATAAATACACATGCACACGTGTGCTTACTGCAGCACTAGTTAATAGCAAAGACATGGAGCCAACCCAAATGTCCACCAGTGATAGACTGAATAAAGAAAATGTGGTGCATATACACCATGGAATACTATGCAGCCATAAAAAGGAATGAGATCATGTCCTTTGCAGGGACATGGATGAAGCTGGAAGCCCTCATCCTCAGCAAACTAACACAGGAACAGAAAACCGAACACCACATGTTCTTATAAGTGGGAGTTGAACAATGAGAACACTTGGACACAGGGAGAGGAACGACACACACTGGGGCCTATCAGGGGCTGGGGGACAAGGGGAGGGAGAGCATTGGGACAAATACCTAATGCATGTGGGGCTTAAAACCTAGATGACAGGTTGAAAGGTGCAGCAAACCACCATGGCACATGAAAACCTATGTAACAAACCTACACATTCTGCACATGTATCCCAGAAATTAAACTGTTTAAGAAAAGAAAGAAAAATAACTCAACATCACTGATCATTAGAGAAATGCAAATCAAAACCACAGTGAGATACCATCTCACACCAGTCAGAATGATGATTATTAAAAAGTCAGGAAACAACAGATGCTGTGAGGTTGTGGAGAAATAGGAGCACTTTTACACTGTTGGTGGGACTGCAAATTAGTTCAACCATTGTGAAAGACAGTGTGATGATTCCTCAAAGATTTGGAACCAGAAATACCATTTGACCCAGCAACCCCATTACTGGGTATATACCAAAAGGAATATAAATAATTCTATTATAAAGATACATGCACATGTATGTTCATTGCAGCACTATTCATAATAGCTAAGACATGGAATCAACCCACATG
Organism: Homo sapiens; assembly: GCF_000001405.40. Lineage (NCBI taxonomy): Eukaryota > Metazoa > Chordata > Mammalia > Primates > Hominidae > Homo > Homo sapiens. The sequence continues at coordinate 95,833 of NW_025791787.1, read as the reverse complement.
CCCATCAGTGATAGCTGGATAAAGAAAATGTGGTACATATACACCATGGAATACTATCCAGCCATAAAAAAGAATGAGATCATGTCCTTTGCAGGGACATCGATGAAGTTGGAAGCCATTATCCTCAGCAAACTAATGCAGGAACACAAAACCAAACACTGCATGTTCTCACTTATAAGTGGGAGCTGAACAATGAGAATACATGGACACAGGGAGGGGAAGAACATTTACTGGGGCCCGTTGGGGGAGGGCAGGGGTGGGAGAGCATTAGGGAAAAGAGCTGATGCATGCTGGGCTTAATACCTAGGTGATGGGTTGAAAGGTGCAGCAAACCACCATGGCACATGTTTATCTATGTAACAAACTTCTATATCCTACACAAGTACCCCAGAACTTAATTAAAAAAATAAAAAATTTACAAAGTGTTAATTGGACCAAAAAAATGGCTGAAAACTTCTAAAATTTGAGAAGAAAAATGAACATCCACACTCATGAGGCCCAAAAGTCTCCAAATAGGTTGAGCTCAAAAAGCGTACGCCAAGACACATTATAATTAAGTTGTCAAAAGTCAAAGACAAAGAGAAACTTAAAAGCAGCAAGAGAGAAGCAACTCATTACATACATGTGAGACCCCTTAAGACTACCAGTAGATTTTCTTAACAGAAACCTTCTAGGCCAGGAGGAAGTTGGATGATATATTCAAAATAGTGAAAGAAAAAATACTGTGAACCAAGAATACTATACCTGGAAAAGCTATTCTTCAGAAATAAAAGATATAAAGAATTTCCCAAACAAATAAAAACTGAAAGAGTTTATCACCACCAGAACTGCCGTATAAGAAACACTAAAGAAAATTTTTCAAGCTGAAATAAAAGAACAGTAATTAACAACATAAAAACATATGAATGTATAAAACTCACTATAAAAGTAAATATATAATCAATGTCAGAATTCCCTAGTATTGTAATAATGATGCATAAATCACTTTTACTTCTGGTATAAAAGTTAAAAAACAAACATATTAAAAATAACTGTAACTACAATAATTTGTTATTGGATACACAATGTAAAAAGATATAAATTGTAACATCAGTAAGCTAAAATGTGAGGGGGAGAAGTAAAAGTATAAATTTTTGTATGCAATCACAGTTAAGTTGTTATCAGTTTAAAATAGCATAGTGATTATAGTTAACAATATTTTTTCCTATAATAAAAATTTGCTAAGAGAATAGATCTTAAATGTCCTACTACACAGAAATGTTCTACAACCTCTGGAAAAAAGATAACTAGGTGAGGTAAAAGATTAACTTAATTATGATAAACATTTCATAATATATGTATATCAAATCACAATGTTGTACTCCTTAAATTTATACAATTTTACTTGTCAATTATACCTCAGTGAAACTGGTGAAAAAAACAAACGCTGGAAAGGATGTGTTGCAATGAACAACAGAAAGTCTCATTTATTGCTCATGAGAATGCAAAATGGTACAGTTACTTTGAAAGACAGATTGGCAGTTTTATACAAAACTAAACATACTCTTACCATATGATTCAGTAGTCACATTTTTTGGTATTTACCCAAATGAATTGAAAAATGTCTACACAGAAAGTGCTTCACAAACATGTATAGCAGCTTTATTTGTAATTGCCAAAAGTTGGAAGCAACAAAGATGTCCTTCAATAGGTGAATAAACTGCAGCATATCCATACAGTGGAATGTTATTTAACAATAAAATGGAATAAGCTGTCGAGCCATGAAAAGAGATGGAGGAATCTTAAATACAAATTATATAGCCAGCTCTGTTCTTTAATCAGGAGATAGAAATATAGTCTCAGAAAAGCAATGCACCAATTATTAAGTGAAAAAAATCAATCTGAAACAGCTACAGACTGTATGATTTCAACTATATGACATTCAGCAAAACTGCATAAACTGTAAAAAAATCTGTGGTGGTAAGGGCTTTGGGGAGAAAGACAGGGATAAATAGAGTGCAGGGTATTTTAAGGCAGTGAAACCTATTCTGGATGTGAATCTTTATATTCACCATTACAATGGTGAATCTTTATATTCACCATTACAGTATCATATATGATACTGTAATGGTGAATATAAAGTATTGTATATTTGTCAAAATCCATAGAATATGCAACACAAAGAATGAGCCCTAATGTAAACTGAACTACTGACTTTAGTTAATAATAATGTGTATCAATATTACTCATCAATTGTGACAAATGTACCACAGTAATCCAAAATGTTAATAATAGGGGATTCTAAGGGTGAAGGAGTGAGGGGGTAAATAGAAAAATCTCTGTATTTTCCACTCAATTTGCCTGTAAACCTAAAACTTCTTAAAAAGTAAATTCTATTTTTTAATAAAAGAGAAATTAAAACATTCTAATATACAAAAACTGAGTTTGTCACTAGCAGACCTGTCCTACAAGAAATTCTGAAAGAGTCCTAAGGCTGAAATAAAATGACACTAAACAGTAAGTTAAATATTATGAAGAAATAAAGAACACCAGTAAAAGTAACTACATAGATAATATGAGAGACAGTGTTAATGTAGTTCTTGTTTGTAACCCCTGTTTCTCCTATATAATTTAAAAGACAATTGCATAAAGCAGTAATTATAAATATATGTTGTTGAGCATGCAATGTATAAAGGCATAATTTGTGAGAATATTATAAAAGGAGAGGAAATGGAGCCGTATAAGAGCTAAGTTTTGGTATACTATTGAAAATTAAGTTGTTATTAATCTGAATAAATTATTATAAATTAAAATGTTAATTGTAATTTCCAAGGTAACCACTAACAAAATAAATTTTAAAACATTGTAAAAGAAGTGACAAGGGAATAAAATGGTACACAAGAAAATACCTATTTAACAAAAAAAAGAAATAATGAAGGAAATGAGGAAGAAAAAAAGATGTAAGATATAGAAAACCAATAGCAAAATGGCAGAAGTCTTCCCTTATCAGTAATTATATTAAGTACAAATGGATTAAACTATCCAATTAAATGGCATAGGCTGGCAGAATGATTTTTTTTTTTTTTTGAGATGGAGTCTCGCTCTGTTGCCCAGGCTGGAGTGCAGTGGTGCAGACTTGGCTCACTGCAACTTCTGCCTCCTGGGTTCAAGTCTTTCTCCTGCCTCAGCCTGCTGGGTGTCTGGGATTACAGGTGCACACCACCGGACCTGGCAAATTTTTGTATTTTTAGTAGAGACAGGGTTTCACCATTTTGGTCAGGCTGGTCTCGAACTCCTGACCTCGTGATCCATCTGCCTCGGCCTCCCAAAGTGCTGGGATTACAGGTGTGAGCCACAGCACCCAGCCAGAATGGATTATTTTTAAAACGTGGTTCAATTATATTCTGTCTACAAGAATTCACTTTAGATTTAAAGACATAAGTAGGTTGAAAGGAAAATGTTGAAAAAACATTCTATGCAAGTAGTTATCAAAGGAGAGCTGGAATGGCTATACTCATATCAAACAAAATAGACTTCAATATAAAAATTGTTAAAGAGACAAAAAGGGCATTATATAATTATTAATATAAAAGGGTCAATTCATTAATAAAGTATAACACTTATAAACATATATTCACCTAAATGCAGAGCTCCACAATACACAAAGAAAAAATTGACACAATTGAAGGCCAAATAATAGAGTTTAACAATAATAGTTGAAGACTTTAATACCAATTTTCAATGATGTCTAGAAAAACTAGATAGAAAATCAAAAAGAAAATAGAAAACTTGAGCAACACTATAAGCCAATGAAATCCAGCAGACATCTGTAGAACACTCCACCCAACAACAGGTGAATACACATTCTTCTCAAGTGAACTATTTTCCAGAATGGACCATACATTAGTCCAGAAAAACAAATCTCAACAAATATAAAAATATAAAAATTATGCCAAGTATATTCTCCAACAATGGAATGAAATTAGAAAGCATTAATAGAAGAAAATTCACAAAGAGTGGAAATTAAACACTCCTAAATAACTGATGAGTCAAAGAGGACATCACAGGGGAAACTAAAACATATTTTCAGGTGAATTAAAACAAAAACACAGCATACCAAAACACTGCTCAAAGAAATCAGAGGTGACACAAGCAAATGGAAAAACATGCTGTGCTCATCAATAGGAAGAATCAATATCATTAAAATGGCCGTACTGTCCAAAGTAATTTACAGATTCAATACCATTCCTATCAAACTACCATGATATTCTTCACAGAAGTAGAAAAAACTATTTTAAAATTCATATAGAACCAAAAAAGAGCCTGAATAGCTCTTTAAGTCAATCCTTAAAAAAAAAAAAAAAAAAAAAGACCAAAGCAGGAGGCATCACGTTACCTGACTTCATTTTTCCTTTTCCTATTTTTTGGGATGGGGGGTTTGGGGGGTGGGGACAGAATCTTACTCTGTCACCCAGGCTGGAGTACAGTGGAGTGATCTCGTTTCACTGCAGCCTCCGCCTCCAGGGTTCAAGCGATTCTCCTGCCTCAACCTCTGGAGTAGCTGGGGTTACAGGCATGCATCACCACGCCGAGTTAATTTTTGTATTTTTACTGGAGACAGAGTTTCACCATGTTGGCCAGGCTGTTCTGGAACTCCTGACCACAGGTGATCTGCCGGCCTCAGCTTCCCAAAGTGTTCAATTACAGGCGTGAGCCACCGCGCCCGGCTACGTTACCTGACTTCAAAGGCTACAGTGACCAAAACAACATGGTACTGGTACAAAAATAGATATATGGACCAATGGAACAGAATAGAGAGCCCAGAAATAATGCTGGTTGCCTACAACCATGTGATCTTCAACAAGGCCAACAAAAATGAGCAATGGGGAAAGGATTTTCTATTCAATAAATGGTGCTGGGATAACTAGCTAGCCATATGCAGAAAATTGAAACTGGACCCCTTCCTTAAACCATATACAAAAATTAACTTAAGATTGATTAAAGACTTAATGTAAAACCCGAAACTATAAAAACCCTGGAAGAAAATCTAGGCAATGCCATTCTGGACACAGGACCTGGCAAAGATTTCATGACAAAGACATCAAAAGCAATTACAAAGAAACCAAAAACTGACAAATGGGACCTAATCAAACTAAAGAGCTTCTGCACAGCAAAAGAAACTATCAACCGAGTAAATAGACAACCTACAGAATGAGAGAAAATATCTGCAAACTATGCATCTAAAAAAGGTTTCATATCCAGAATCCATAAGGAACTTAAACAAATTTACAAGCAAAAAACAAACAATACCATTAAAAAGTGGGCAAAGAAGATGAACAGACTCTTTTCACAAAAAGACATGTATGCAGCCAGCATGCATATGAAAAAATGCTCAACATCACTAATCATTAGAGAAATGCAAATCAAAACCACAGCGAGATATCATCTCACACCAGACAGAATAGCCATTATTAAAAAGCCAAAAAATAACAGACGTTGGTGAAGTTGCAGAGTAAAGGGAACACTTAAACACTGCTGGTGGAAGTGTAAACTAGTTCAGTCATTGTGGAAAGCAGTGTGGCAATTTCTCAAAGAACTGAAAACAGAATTACCATTCAACCCAGCAATCGTATTGTTGGATATATATCGAAAGGAATACAATTTGTTCTGCCATAGTGACACAGGCACACATATGTTTACCGCAGCACTGTTCACAACGAAGACATGGAATCAACCTAAATGCCCATCAACAGTAGACTGAATAAAGAAAAGTGGTACATATATACCATGGGATCCTACACAGCCATAAAAAAGAATGAGATTATGCCCTTTGCAACAACATAAATTGAGCTGGAGATCATCATCATAAGCAAACTAATGCAGAAACAGAAAACCAAATAGTGTATATTCTCATTTATAAGTGGGAGCTAACCAATGAGAACACAAGGATACAAAGAAGAGAACAACTGGACACCAGGGCTTACTTGAGGGTGGAGGGTGGAAGGAGGAAGAGGATCAAGAAAAAATGCCTATTGAGTATTATACTTATTACCTGAGTGACTAAATAATCTGTACACCAAACCCCCATGACACACAGTTTACCTATATAACAATCCTGCACATATACCCCTAAACCTAAAATAAAAGTTTTTTTAAAAAACTATAGAAAAAGAAGAGCAAACTAAACCTAAGCAAGAAGAAGGAAAAAAATAAACATTAGAGGAGAGATAAATGAAGTAGAGAATAGAATGACAATGGAAAAAATTAATAAAACATAACATAGTTATTTGAAAAGATCAACAATGTTGAGAAAACTTTGGCTAGACTAACCAAGAAAAAAGAAAAAGAGTAGACTTAAACTATTAAAATCAGGAACAAAGGAGATGTTGCTAACGATATAGAGAAATTAAAAGCATTGTAAAACAATACCGTGAACAATTGTATGCCAACAAATTAGACAATTTAGATGAAATGGACAATTTCTGGAGACACACAAGCTACCAAAATTGACTCAGGAAGAAACAGACAATCTGAATAGACCTATAACAAATAAAGAGATTGAGTCAACCCTCCAAAAGCTTCCAATAAAGAAAACCCCAGGACCAGATGGTGAATTCTACCAAATTTTTAAGAATTAGTAGAAATGCTTCTTAGACTCTTCCAAAAAAATAGAATTGAGAAAACTTCCTAACTCACTCCATGAGGTCGGCATTACCATGATACCAAAACCAGATAAAGACATCACAAGAAAACTATAAACCAAAGTCTCTTATGAATGTAGATGCCAAAACACTCAACAAAATACTAGCAAACTGAAGACTGGGCACAGTGGCTCACACCTGTAATCCCAGCACTTTGGGAGGCCAATGCAGGCATATCACTTGAAGCCAGGAGGTCGAGACCAGCCTGACCAACATGGTGAAACATCATCACTACTAAAAATACAAAAATTAGCCTGGTGTGGTGGCACATGCCTGTAATCCCAGCTACTCGGGAGGCTGAGACATGAGAATCTCTTGAACCTGGGAGGCAGAGGTTGCAATGAGCCAAGACGGCACCATTGCACTCTAGCCTGGGTGACAGAGTGAGACTGCATTCTACCCCGCCAAAAAAAAAAAAATACTAGCAAACTGAATCCAGGAGTATATTAAAGATATTATACATTATGTCCAAGTGAGAGTAATCCCAGGAATGTGAAAGTGGTTCCAACATATAAAAATCAGTCAAAGTAACACAGCATATCAATAGAATAAAGGAAGAATATCCAGGTGTGGTGGCACATGCCTATAATCCCAGCTACTCGGGAGGCTGAGGCAGGAGAATCGCTTGAACCTGGGAGGTGGAGGTTGCGGTGAGCCAAGATCGCGCTGCTGCACTCCAGCCTGGGCAACAAGAGCGAAACTCCGTCTCAAAAAAATAAATTAATTAATTAAATAAAGGAAGAAACTGATTCCTCGGTGTGTTGCATTCTGGATTCAGAGCTTTCCACACCCCAATAAATTGCCCTAAGATCACCAATTATAAGTTCACTGCAGAATTTAATAGATTTTAATCTTTCTGTCACTTGATCCCTCAAGGACATGAGGCCTGTTGGCCACATGCTTCTGGTTCTCCTCATGCCTTCCAAACATTTCTTTCCAGTCTCCTTCATGAGGCTTCCTGCCTACTCTTTGACAAGTGACCTTCTTCTGTTCATACTCTAACATCTGCCTGAATACAGTAATCCACATTTTGGTTTAACTGCCACCTTATATCATATCCCAGGATCCTCCCCTGCCCTCCAGACCCATGTATCCTTTTGCCCACTGGATAATGCAAACTGGATAATTCCAAGTTGTTCAAGTTCCACGTGGCTAGAATTGGACTCCTTATCTTCCACCCAAAACCTTCTACTATTCCATGATTATTTGATAATTTAAAAGAATAACCACAAGCCTATTATTATTAAATAGTCCAACCCAGTTGTCCAAAGCACAACCTTGGAAATCACTGCTGACCTCTTCCTCAACAATCAGCATTCAAGAGGTCACTAAATCCTGAGGATTAGTCTTCTGTCACAGCTCTGCCGAAATCTGTACCATCTGTTTCCTGGAATGTTACTTTAGGCTCCTAAGTGAATTTTCTTCTTTTTTTCCCCTTCAATCCGTTATCCACATTGCAACCAAAGTGATCTTTCCGTAACTGATGTGATCCCATGACTCCGAATAATACCCAAGATACACGAACATATACACAAATAATAGTAACAGCATTATTTCAATTCTTAAACATTGCTGGATTCTTTCAGATCCAGCTAAAACACCCCACTTTTGGCTAAAAAATGACTTAAAATTTCTCTTAAAATCCTATACATATAAGGACACCCTCTTTTGTGCCCCAACACTTCTCCCAAACACACATGAACACCTCCTACCTCCTACCTCCTACCTAGCTATGGTCAACCACTCAATACACATCTCCCCTGCATGACTTCAAGGTCCTTGAAGAATGAACCTTATTGTTATTCATTTCTATATCCTCAGGGTATATATCACTGTCTGACATGTTATGAATTAAGAACTTAAGAACTATTTCTACATAGTCAATGGATTATTATGAATTATAATACTATCCCAGACAGTACTAGTTAAAGTCTGCTACTTATTCTGAGACCAGCACAGGGCACCATAATTTAATGTGCACATGGAGAAAGGAGAAAATATGAGAAAAGAATCTAACGTTCGGAAAATTATACTTATTGGGAGACTAAAGAACATCTCAACTTGAAAAATGGAGGCTGAGGAGGGATTTAAATACATCTTCAAATACAGCCATTAATGGTAGAAAAGAAATCCCTGCAGGCTGAGGAGACCAAGCCTCTATTCTACTAACTAGCTATGGGAACCCACGCTTTCTGGGCCCAAGCTTTTGTTCCTGTTAAATTCTAAGGCTAGGCTCTAAACTCCGTTAAAGCACTAGTGCTCTATGATTCTAAAGTTATACATCACATTAAAGCAGAATAAAGAAAAATACACAGGTGTCAGCATAAGGGACTTTGTTAAACCCAGGAAATATTTTCCCAAAGCAGAACTGGTTTCAGAGTGGAGTGACTGTGAGCAGGGCTGTGCAGACTTGCTTGCTGAATGCCCTGATCAACAGAGGAGTTTTCAGTCATCCTGCAGGATTCGTGTTGTGTTCTTCCTAGAGGGAGTAGAGGGGCTTGAGGGAGAGTTTGAGACAGATTACCCAACCTGAACCTCTGATATTTTCATAAACATTATGTGTCAAAGAAGGTCTTCTTTTCCAGAAAGATCACACCAACTTCTCGGGGCATATAGAAAAAAATCAATGAGTCATCATCAATGCTTCCTGTCATCATAATCATGAGTGACAATCCTATAAAGAGTGGCGTGTTATGGGGTGTAAGGGGAGGGGGGGCTTTTTGTAAAAAGATAGCAGAATTTTGTCCTAAAACTAGAAATTCAAATATAACTGGGAATATATTTTCACAGCAGTGTGAACTTTCCTCTACAAATCCGCAGCAGATGACCTCTGTGCTTGATCTTACGGAAGCTGAATGCCGGGGTGAATTCACTGTTTTCTGAAAAAAGATACAAAAAATCCAGATGGCAGCTTATGGCCTCAGTCAACGTTCTGCCATGAGTCCTCTCCAAGTCTATATTTAGCATGATCTGATTGAGTAAGATCACATGCTCAGAGTAAACTCAGTCCAGAATATCAACTATGATTTACTTCCAGAGGCAGTAATAAATCTCCCTGTTGGAATTTTATTCGGTTTCTGCTGGCTAGGTTCTTTGTCCATTTGTATTATGCCCTGAAGCTGTAAATATGTAGAATTAAAATGGGCAAGAGATATCTATATTTATATCTGTTTCAATATTTCTATTTATATCTATCTGCTCTACTGCTTGCCTCCTGCAGAATGAGATTAATCCCTTTAAATATTATTAATCATGGTCATTTGCTCAAGACAATGCAATAGGGGGAATAAACAGCTTCCAGGAACCACCTACTTCACTGTGGATTTCCCACCAAGAAAAATAAATATTGAATTTTTCTCAGCTACTGAAAATAGCAATTCCACCACAGCAGCAGAAAAATAACCTTAGTAGGTAAAGACATTTGAGCTAAGCTAGACTTTGGGAACATAGTGACCTGGTCTTGAGATGAAGCCAAGGGAAATTAGCTCTCTGTCCATTTATGGGAACTGAATTTCAGCGGGAGGAGGAGAGTTGAGCACATCTTGGAAGTGACAAGTTTAACGTTTGCATTCCGGTGATCATAGCCTGCCCTATCTCAGGACAAGGATGTGTGTCTGTCCTTCCCAAAATAACCCTGAGTCTTCTGCTGGCCTGGATAAGCATCCTCACCCAATGATTCAGGAAGGGCTGGTTGGGAAAGGGGCATGTCTAGCCCAGCCCAGATGAGGCCACACTCTTTTACTGGGCTCATGGGGCTCAGGTTCAGTGCCCATTCAAATACAGCCAGATATTTCTTCCCAGATAAAGCAGAAGACTCCACATCTACCTTGTGTACTCCCACCATAAACCAAGTTAGATTGGAAACTTCAATTGACCTTTCTCAGTAAGGATTACTGATAGAATAAAGCTCCAGTCCATTAAGGCAACCAAACATGTAACAAATTAGCTTATCTCCTCTCCATCTACAATGGTACTAGCTATGTTGCATTCTTGGGAAATGGAGAATTAGTCAACGAAATCACTTGTCTGTAGGCTAATTCTCTTTTGGGACCCTGATTGGAAAAGACTATAATTAGAAAGCTTCAGGGATAAGATGAAGCCTTCTGAGACTTGTGGACCAGATCTGTGGACTTCAGTCTAGAACATAGGTGGACACTGGGGTTTTTCTGGATCTTATCTAGTCTTGGCGTGGCAAGCATGCTTTTTGTCCCACAGTGGGGTCTGTCAAGATTTAATAGCAACTGCTGACCTTGCTATTGCAATGCAGGCCTATCACCATATTACTCCTGCTGCCTACAATAGCTGTTCATACGGAGGAAGCAAGTAAGTCAGTGATTCACCTTGGTTTTTGTCCTGTATCCAAGAATTAAGAGTGAGTTCCATGGTGACACAGTGGGCTGAAAATCTTAGTTAAGGGCATTTATAGAGACTTGATTATATGATTTCTTTTTTTGTTGAAATACACTCTCATTGGCTTTATGGTGTGAAGATTACAATTGTGGGTCCTTGAAACAGACAGACCTGAGTCTAGTATCGCTTTGTGTCTTATAAGCTATGTGTCCTCAGAAACATTACTTAGACTCTCTAGACTGAACACAAGGCAGCGAAGGACAGTGATCCCTGAGTGAGCCTCCCTCACCCAAGAGTGAGGGTGGCTGCTCTCCCCCATCTAACAAGATAGAAGTTGAACATAGTTGAGGTGATTCTGAAAAAAACAGTTCTTTATTTGGAGTAGCAAGGAAATTATTGGGAACCAAAAATAAATACTCCATGCAATGTTTCTCAACCTTTTTCCATGTTATTCACTTGTCTATGGAAGGAATAAATTAAACTGCATGATTTTAAAAATTTATATCAGACAAAAATTTATATGCCACTTATTTTCACTCAACAATATATCATGTCTATTCTTTTATGTCAGCGCATATAGATGTATCTTATTCTTTTCAAAAAATTATTTATTAGGTAAGTCAAAATTATATATACTTACATTGTACAATATAGTGTTGGTGCAATGGATAAATCAAGCTATTTAACATTTCCATTACCTCAAACATAATTTGTGATGAGAACACTTAAACTCCTTAAAATCTACTCTCTTGGCAATTTACAAGTATATAATATATTCTTTTTTTATTATTATACTTTAAGTTCTAGGATACATGTGCATAATGTGCAGGGTTGTTACGTAGTTATACATGTGCCATGTTGGTTTGCTGCACCCATTAACTCATCATTTACATTGGGTATTTCTCCTAATGCTATCCCTCCCCCAGCCCCCCACCCCACGACAGGCCCTGGTGTGTGATGTTCCCCTCCCTGTGTCCAAGTGTTCTCATTGTTCAATTCCCACCTATGAGTGAGAACATGCGGTGTTTGCTTTTATGTCCTTGTGATAGTTTGCTGAGAATGATGGTTTCCAGCTTCATCCATGTCCCTACAAAGGACATGAACTCATCATTTTTTATGGCTGCATAGTGTTCCATGGTGTATATGTGCCACATTTTCTTAATCCAGTCTATCATTGATGGACATTTGGGTTGGTTCCAAGTCTTTGTTATTGTGAATAGTGCCGCAACAAACATACTTGTGCATGTGTCTCTATAGTAGCATGATTTATAATACTTTGGGTATATACCCAGTAATGGGATCACTGGGTCAAATGGTATTTCTAGTTCTAGATTCTTGAGGAATCGTCACACTGTCTTCCACAATGGTTGAACTAATTTACACTCCCACCAACAGTGTAAAAGTGTTCCTATTTCTCCACATCCTCTCCAGCATCTGTTGTTTCATGACTTTTTAATGATTGCCATTCTAACTGGTGTGAGATGGTATCTCATTGTGGTTTTGATTTGCATTTCTCTGATGACTAGTGATGATGAGCATTTTTTCATGTGTCTGCTGGCTGCATAAATGTCTTCTTTTGAGAAGTGTCTGTTCACATCCTTTGCCCACTTTTTGATGGGTTTGTTTGTTTTTTTCTTGAAAATTTGTTTAAGTTCTTTGTAGATTCTAGATATTAGCCCTTTGTCAGATGGGTAGATTGCAAAAATATTCTCCCATTCTGTAGGTTACCTGTTCACTCTGATGGTAGTTTCTTTTGCTGTGCAAAAGCTCTTTAATTAGATCCCATTCATCTATTTTGGCTTTTGTTGCCATTGCTTTTGGTGTTTTAGTCATGAAGTCCTTGCCCATGTGTATGTCCTGAATGGTATTGCCTAGGTTTTCTTCTAGAGTTTTTATGGTTTCAGGTCTAACATTTAAGTCTTTAATCCACCTTGAATTAATTTTTGTATAAGGTGTAAGGAAGGGATCCAGTTTCAGCTTTCTACATATGGCTAGCCAGTTTTCCCAGCACCATTTAATCAATAGGGAATCTGTTCCCAATTTCTTGTTTTTGTCAGGTTTGTCAAAGATCAGATGATTGTAGATGTGTGGTGTTATTTCTGAGGCCTCTGTTCTGTTCCATTTGTCTATATATCTGTTTTGGTACCAGTACCATGTTGTTTTTGTTACTGTAGCCTCGTAGTATAGTTTGAAGTCAGTAGTATAGTTTGATGCCTCCAGCTTTGTTCTTTTTGCTTAGGAATGTCTTGGCAATGTGGGCTTTTTTTTGGTTCCATATGAACTTTAAAGCAGTTTTTTCCAATCCTGTGAAGAAAGTCATTGGTAGCTTGATGGGGATGGTATTGAATCTATAAATTACCTTGGGCAGTATGGCCATTTTTACGATATTGATTCTTCCTATCCATTAGCATGGAATGTTCTTCCATTTGTTTGTGTCCTCTTTTATTTCGTTGAGCAGTGGTTTGTAGTTCTCCTTGAAGAAGTCCTTCACATCCCTTATAAGTTGGATTCCTAGGTATTTTATTCTCTTTGTAGCAATTGTGAATGAGAGTTCACTCATGATTTGGCTCTTTGTTTGTCTGTTATTGATGTATAGTAATGCTTGTGATTTTAGCACATCGATTTTGTGCCCTGAGACTTTGCTGAAGTTGCTTATCAGCTTAAGGAGATTTTGGGCTGAGATGATGGGGTTTTCTAAATATACAATCATGTCATCTGCAAACAGGGACAATTTGACTTCGTCTTTTCCTAATTGAATACCCTTTATTTCTTTCTCTTGCCTGATTGCCTTGACCAAAACTTCTAACACTATGTTGAATAGAAGTGGTGAGAGAGGGCATCCTTGTCTTGTGCTGGTTTTCAGAGGGAATGCTTCCAGTTTTTTCCCATTCAGTATGATATTGGCTGTGGGTTTGTCATAAATATTGGCTGTGGGTTTGTCTTATTATTTTGAGATACGTTCCATCAATACCTAGTTTATTGAGAGTTTTTAGCATGAAGGGCTGTTGAATTTTGTCAAAGGCCTTTTCTGCAGCTATTGAGATAATTATGTGGTTTTTGTCATTGGTGCTGTTTATGTGATGGATTACGTTTATTGATTTGCGTATGTTGAACCAGCGTTGCATCCCAGGGATGAAGCTGACTTGATCATGGTGGATAAGCCTTTCGATGTGCTGCTGGATTCAGTTTGCCAGTATTTTATTGAGGATTTTTGCATCGATGTTCATCAGGGATATTGGTCTAAAATTCTCTTTTTTTGTTGTGTCTCTGCCAGGCTTTGGTATCAGGATGATGCTGGCCTCATAAAATGAGTTAGGGAGGATTCCCTCTTTTTCTATTGATTGGAATAGTTTCAGAAGGAATGGTACCAGCTCCTCTTTGTACCCCTGGTAGAATTTGGCTGTGAATCTGTCTGGTTCTGGACTTTTTTTGGTTGGAAGGTTATTACTTATTACCTCAATTTCAGATCCTGTTATTGGTCTATTCAGAGATTCTGCTTCTTCGTGGTTTAGTCTTGGGAGGGTGTATGTGTCCAGGAATTCATCCATTTTTTCCAGATTTTCTAGTTTATTTGCATAGAGGTGTTTATAGTGTTCTCTGATGGTAGTTTGTATTTCTGTGGGATCGGTGGTGATATCCCCTTTATCATTTTTTATTGCGTCTATTTGATTCTTCTCTCTTTTCTTCTTTATTAGTCTTGCTAGCAGTCTATCAATATTGTTGATCTTTTCAAAAAACCAGCTCTTGGATTCATTATTTTTTGAAGGGCTTTTTGTGTCTCTGTCTCCTTCAGTTCTGCTCTGATCTTAGTTATTTCTGCTAGCTTTTGAATGTGTTTGCTGTTGCTTCTCTAGTTCTTTTAATTGTGATGTTAGGGTGTCGATTTTAGATCTTTCCTGCTTTCTCTTGTGGACATTTAGTGCTATAAATTTCCCTCTACACACTGCTTTAAATGTGTCCCAGAGATTCTGGTACGTTGTGTCTTTTTTCTCATTGGTTTCAAAGAACTCTTTATTTCTGCCTTCATTTTGTTATTTACCCAGTAGTCGTTCAGGAGCAGGTTGTTAAGTTTGCATGTAGTTGTGCAGTTTTGAATGAGTTTCTTAATCCTGAGTTCTAATTTGATTGCACTGTGGTCTGAGAGACAGTTTGTTGTGATTTCTGTTCTTTTACATTTGCTGAGGAGTGCTTTACTTCCAACTCTGTGGTCAATTTTGGAATAAGTGCGATGTGGTCCTGAGAAGAAGGTATATTCTGTTGATTTGGGGTGGAGAGTTCTGTAGATGTCAATTAGGTCTGCTTGGTGCAGAGCTGAGTTCAAGTCCTGGATATCCTTATTAACCTTCTGTCTGGTTGATCTGTCTAATATTGACAGTGGGGTGTTAGCGTCTCCCATTATTATTGTGTGGGAGTCCAAGTCTCTTTGTAGGTCTGGAAGGACTTGCTTTATGAATCTGGGTGCTCCTGTATTGGGTGCATATATATTTAGGATAGTTAGCTCTTTTGTTGAATTGATCCCTTTACCATTATGTAATGGTCTTCTTTGTCTCTTTTGATTTTTGTTGGTTTAAAGTCCGTTTTATCAGAGACTAGGATTGCAACCCCTGCTTTTTTTTTGCTTTCCATTTGCTTGGTAGATCTTCCTCCATTCCTTTATTTGGAGCCTATGTGTGTCTTTGCACATGAGATAGGTCTCCTGAATACAGCACACTGATGGGTCTTGAGTATCCAATTTGCCAGTTTGTGTCTTTTAATTGGGGTATTTAGCCCATTTACATTTAAGGTTAATATTGTTATGTGTGAATTTGATCCTGTCATTATGATGTCAGCTGGTTATTTTGCCCATCAGTTGATGCAGTTTCTTTATAGCATCGATGGTCTTTACAATTTGGCATGTTTTTGCAGTGGCTGGTACTGGTTGTTCCTTTCCATGTTTAGTGCTTCCTTCAGGAGCTCTTGTATGGCAGACCTGGTGGTGACAAAATCTCTCAGCATTTTCTTGTCTGTAAAGGATTTTATTTCTCCTTCACTTATGAAGCTTAGTTTGGCTGGATATGAAATTCTGGGTTGAAAATTCTTTTCTTTAAGAATGTTGAATATTGGCCCCCACTCTCTTCTGTCTTGTGGAGTTTCTGCCAAGAGATCCACTGTTAGCCTGATGGGCTTCCCTTTGTGGGTAACCCGACCTTTCTCTCTGGCTGCCTTTAACATTTTTTCCTTCATTTCAACTTTGCTGAATCTGACAATTATGTGTCTTGGGGTTACTCTTCTCGAGGAGTATCTTTGTCGTGTCCTCTGTATTTCTGAATTTGAATGTTGGCCTGCTTTGCTAGGTTGGGGAAGTTCTCCTGGATAATATCCTGAAGAGTGTTTTCCAACTTAGTTTCATTCTCCCCGTCACTTTCAGGTACACCAATTAAACATAGATTTGGTCTTTTCACATAGTCCCATATTTCTTGGAGGCTTTGTTCATTTCTTTTTACTCTTTTTTCTCTAAACTTGTTTTCTTGCTTTATTTCATTAATTTGATCTTCAATCACTGATATCCTTTCTTCCACTTGATCGAATCAGCTATTGAAGCTTGTGCATGCGTCACGTAGTTCTCATGCCATGGTTTTCAGCTCCATCAGGTCATTTAAGGTCTTCTCTACATAGTTTATTCTAGTTAGACATTCTTCTAACCTTTTTTAAGGTTTGTAGCTTCCTTGCAATGGTTTAGAACATGCTCCTTTAGCTCAAAGAAGTTTGTTATTACCGACCTTCTGAAGCCTACTTCTGTCAACTCATCAAAGTCATTCTCCATCCCACTTTGTTCCGTTGCTGGTGAGGAGCTGCAGTCCTTTGGAGGAGAAGAGGTCCTCTGGTTTTCAGAATTTTCAGCTTTTCTGCTCTGGTTTCTCCCCATCTTTGTGGTTTTATCTACCTTTGGTCTTTGATGTTGGTGACCTACAGATGAGGTTTTGGTGTGGATGTATTTTTTGTTGATGTTGATGCTATTCCTTTGTATGTTAGTTTTCCTTCAAACAGTCAAGTCCCTCAGCTGCAGGTCTGTTGGAGTTTGCTGGAGGTCCACTCCAGACCCTGTTTGCTTGGGTATCACCAGCAGAGGCTGCAGAACAGCAAATATTGCAGAACAGCAAATATTGCTGCCTGATCCTTCCTCTGGAAGCTTTGTCCCAGAGGGGCACCCGCCTGTATGAGGTGTCTGTTGGCCCCTACTGGGCAGTGTCTCCCAGTTAGGCTACACAGGCATCAGGGACCCACTTGAGGAGGCAGTCTGTTTGTTGTCAGTGCTCAAACGCCATGCTGGAAGAACCACTGCTCTTTTCAGAGCTGTCAGACAGGAACGTTTAAGTCTGCAGAAGTTTCTGCTCCATTTTGTTCAGCTATGACCTACCCCCAGAGGTGGAGTCTATAGAGGCAGTAGGCCTTGCTGAGCTGCAGTGGGCTCCACCTAGTTAGAGCTTCCTGGCCGCTTTGCTTACCTACTCAAGCCTCAGCAATGGTGGATGCCCCTCCCCCTGCCAGGCTGCAGCCTCACAGGTTGACCTCAGACTGTTGCACTAGCAGTAAGCAAGGCTCCCTGGGCATGGGACCCACCCAGCCAGGCACGGGAGAGAATCTGCTGGTCTGCCAGTTGCTAAGATCATGGGAAAAGCACAGTATTTGGGCGGAAATGTCCCGTTTTTCCAGGTACAGTCTGTCACAGCTTCCCTTGGCTAGGAAAGGGAAATCCCCCAGCCCCTTGCACTTCCCGGGTAAGGCAATGCCCCCACCTGCTTCAGCTGGCCTTCTGTGGGCTGCACCCACTTTCCAACCAGTCCCAATGAGATGAACCAGTACCTCAGTTGGAAATGCAGAAATCACCTGTCTTCTGTGTCAATCATGCTGGGAGCTGCAGACCGGAGTTGTTCCTACTCGGCCATCTTGGAATGGAGGGTGAAGCATCTTTTATTCTAATGAGGCAACTCTTGGTGGCTTCCTAGATATCTTGAGGATTGGAGCTAGTGGCCAAAAAGACCAAGCCTTCATTAGAAACTTGGAACTTTGTCCCCACCCCTGACCTTTAGGGAGGAAGGAAAGGCTGGAGGGTGAGTTAATAACTAATAGCCAATGATTTAATCAGTTGTGCCTATGTAATGGAGCCTCCATAAAAACAAATTATGGGGTTCAGAAAGCTTCAGGGCTGGTGGATACATGGAGATGGTGAGAGGATGAGATGCCCAAACAGGGCATGGAAGTTCCCTGCCCTTCCCGCATACCTTGCCCTATGTCTCTCTTCCTTCAGGCTGCTCCTGAGTTGTAACCTTTATAATTAACTGGTAACAGTAAGTGAAGCACTTTTCTAAGTTCTGCAAGTCATTCTACCAAGTTATTAAACCTGAATGGGGGTGTGGGAACCCCAATTTTGTAGCTAAAGTAGACAGAAGTGTAGGCAAACTGAGGACCTGGTTCTTGCAACTGGAGTCTGAACTGGGGGCTATCTCGTGGGACTGAGCCCTTAAACCTGTGGGGTCAGCTAACTCCAGGTAGTTCATGTCAGAATTATGGAGTCTTCATTAGGGAAAGGGCTAGTGGGACCAAGGGAAAACAAAAAGAGGAAACAGATAAGCTCTAAGTCTGCCTTTCTTCATGGTCCAGGACACATGGCCCTCCTGTGCAAATAACTCACGATCTTCCTGTGCCCAACTGTCACCGGATACCTGCAAGCGAGTTCACTGGAACCTCATCATTTTCAGCACTGCACAAACCCTTCTTCAGCTTATAGCATAAACACTATTCTATAAAATCCCCACCAAGCCTTTGTCTCCTTGCAGTCAGCTCCTCTCTTGCTGATTCTGTCTGTTGCTTTCTTACAACGTATTTTCCTACTTCCTCTAATAAATCTGCCTTTCTTTGCCTACCACTGTCTTGATAAATTATTTTACCCCTGCACCACCGGCCCAGGCAGTCACTGCTCACCCACAACAAAAATAGGACTGAGTTACTGGACACCCAGTTTGTGTTTGGAGAGTTGCAGAACCCTTGGTCGTTGGTGTGGAAAAAACCAACACACTGGTGTGAGTCAGAAGTGTTGTGAATTAAAAAAGACCTGTGTGTGTGTGTGTGTGTGTGTGTGTTTACAATTGCATCTCTATCTACAGAGAGAAGGAATGATGAGGCAAATATGGTAAAATGTGAAAAATTGGAGAATCTGGCTGAAGGGTGTCAGGAGCTCTTTCTATGCTTTTTGTAATTCTGGAAAAAATGCTGTTTTGTTAGTGTCCTTTGTGCCGCATGACACACTGCTCCGTCTCATGGAAGGAACCACCTCTTTCACCCAGTTTTTCCACTGGCAATGACTTTGTATTCTTCAAATTTAATTTGAACACATTATACCAGGTGTATATATACCAGGATATGTAGGTGTAATAGTTCTCAACGCTGTGTAACAAATTATCACACACTTATGATTTAAAACAACACTTCACCAGCTCACAGGTCTGTGGCTCAGAATTTTGCAATGGCATGGCTGGGTTCTCTACTCAGAGTCACACAAACATAAAATCAAGATGTTGACAGGCTGAGTCTTCCTCTGAAGGCTCTAGGTAAATATTTGCTTCCCAGCTCATTATTCTTGTGTCAGAATCCAGTTCCTTGTAGCCATGGGCCTAGGGTACATGTCTCCTCACTGACTGACTACAGGCACTCTGCTGTCTTCTAGGCCAGCAGAGCCAGAGAAGGGTTTATGTGACTAGGTTAGCCGACAGGAGAGTCTCCCTATCTGAGGTCAAACATACTGCGTAACCTAACCTAATCACAAGAGTAAAATTTGTCACAAAAGACATTAAGTGAAAATTCATAGTCCCAGGATGTGCATGATCTTCAGGGATGTCTTATGATTCTGCCTACCACATATTTCTATTGATAAGAACTTAACATATTTTACAAATCACAAACCAAACTGTAATGGATTAGTCAATACTTGCTGCTAGGAAAATTATTGATCTTATTGAGGGAAAATAAATCAGCTTTCTAGTCTAACTTCATGTTACATATCAAGATAAATGTTGAATGGATTAAAAGGTGAAATATAAATCTGAAATCATAGAAGTATTAGAAAAACTGTAGGTGAATAGTTACCTTTCTTTTGCATAGGGGTAGGAGATTTTGCATAAAAAATAGCAAAAAAACTAATAGAACTGAAATTACTATAAACAAAATTAAATAATGCAGTAAGCAAAAGGGGAAATGTTGACATCAAATAGGAGAAAGTTTATTTATAATATTTCAAGAACTCACAAATTTGGTGAGAAAACCCTAATTGTAAAATAGGCCAGGTGTGGTGGCTCATGCTTGTAATCCCAAGACTTTGGGAGGCTGAGACAGGAGGATTGCTTGAGCCCAGAAGTTCAAGACCTGCCTGGTCAACATGGCAAAACCCTGTCTCTACTAAAAATACAAAAATTAGCTAGGCATGGTGGTGCACACCTGTAGTCCCAGCTACTCAGGAGGCTGAAATGGGAGAATCACTTTAGCTCAGGAAAGCAGAGGTTGCAGTAAGCCGAGATGGTGCCACTGCACTCCAGCCTGGTCAACAGAGCAAGACCCTGTCTCAAAGAAAAAGAAAAGAAAAGAAAAAAATAAACAAGAGACAGAACCTTCAAAAAAGAAGAAACAAATATGCAAACAAGTGCCTGTATGAATGTTTGCGCTCACAGTCATTAAAGAAGTTCAGATTTGAGCCACACTGGAATGGCATGTTTTACCCAAGAAATTGTAAACATTGAAAATGCTAGCAGTCTATGACAGCAAGGATGGCATAGGAAGCCCACTCCACTCACTCTACTATTGTTGAAATTGAGAATTGGGACAACATATCTGAAAATGAGAATTTAACAATGTGTATCAAGAAATTAAAAATTATTTAAATCTCTGACCTAGTCGTTCCACTTCTAAAAGTATATGCAAGGGAAATTAAATGAAAAAGAGACAAAATTATATCCACACAGTGATGACAAGAGTGCTGTTTCTAATGGTCAAAAAATGGGAACAGCCTAAAAATCCAACAGTAAACTATGATTTGGAGACGGAGTATTATGTAGCCATCAAAAAAGAGTTTGTGAATAATTTTTATGGAAAAGGGCTTTTTGAAAGCATAAACTTTTGAGAAAGACTGAAAAGAAAAGCAAAATATTAACTGTGGTGTCTGTGGAAATATGGTTTGGTTTCATTTCCTGCACTCTGCAAAATTTTCTCTCGGGGTATTCTTAACCTGGAGTTATGGGCCCCCTGGTGGTGAAGGGGATCTATAAAAACCCTCAACAATCGTATATTGGGTGTATGTGCAATTTTCCCACATATAAAACAAGCCCTTGAAATGAAATTATGTGGGCTCTAACCACCAAGAAAGCTGAGTCATTTTTTTCCTCAAGAAAGCAAAGACCCTGAGGACCTACACGTTCTCTTCCCCAGCACAGCCTACCATTTCCAGGGGCAAAAGAGAACCACGGTGCCCCACAAATCCCACCTGCCAAGAATCTGTCCCAGGCAGTGTCTCTAGAGCTTCTGGGCAGGTGGAGGAGGCTGCAGGGAGCTGCAAAGAAAAACCAACTTTCCATTTGGCATTTGCAAAGCCTTGACACAGAACCAGGTTTGTCTTTGTTTTTTGCTTGTTTTTTTGTTTCTTTGTTAGCTTTTGCACCTTTTTGTAGGTGCATTTTTTTTCAAAGGCAGAGAATTTCCTTGCTCATTCCCCTTGTCTGCCTGAAAGATGCAGATGGAATGTGTACCTGTATCCCCAGTGGAGATTCGTTCAGAGTCCTGAGCCTGCAGAATTACCTGCACTTGTTCCTGCTTCACGAAATCACAAGAATAAAAATGTTAGCAATCTCATCTTTGTCTGTGAATCAGTTACTCTGAGAGTGTCTTAGGCAAAGGCTTTTGGAATTCCCTTTTGCCCTAGAAGCCTGACCTGCAGAGGTGTGCACCCCACACTCACCATTGTTGCTCCTGCTGAGCTGCCTGCCCTGGGCTTGAACGACCAGAGGCTGAATGACCAGACAAATCAATAAGATCCAATGGGCCGAGGTGACACATAGCCCCCAGTGCCAGTCTACAGGCTCTGCACAGATGCCGATAGGTCATTTTTAATCATGATTTTCGATTTTTCAACCCCAGAATGCCTTATACACCCAAGTCTCACCGTGCGGATTCCCTTCTTTAGAAATTACAGCGCTGCATGGAAAGAGGCTGCCGGCAGGCTTGTGCTGCCTGGGTCAGCGTCCTCCATGTGCCACTGATCAGGGCTGAGAAGGCTTCGCAGAGCGCATCTCGGTGTCTTTCCAAAAGCCCAAAACTCTGTATTATGTGGCATCCTCAGACTGGTCTAGGAGAGCCCAGAGCTCCCCAGCTCCTCCTGAGATCAGCTTTTCGGGGGTTGAGAGGGAAAACACAACACTGAAACACGCACACAACTGACAATAATATCCTTCCTCTGCTGGCAGCCGAGTCCTGAGAATGAGTTTGAATAGTTTGGGAATGCCCCGGCCCACTGACCTTTCACCCAGCCGCAGATGGTAGACTTTTATTTTTATTTTTACCAACTCTTGCTCCTGCTCCTGATCCCTTAAGGTTTGAACTCTGTCCTACATGTTGTTCCCCTCTGTGTGCCCATTGCTGCAGGTTCATTATACAGGTAAACTCGTGCACAGGGGTTTGGTATACAGGTTATTTTGTCACCCAGGTACTAAGCATAGAACCCACCAGTGATTTTTTTGTAATCCAGCCCTAAACCTAAAATAAAAGTTGAAAAAAAAAACACAAAAAACTACCTATCAGGTACTATGCTCACTGCCTGGGTGATGATATCATGGTAGTACTCACCCCCAAACCTCAGCAACATGCAATTTATCCATGTAACAAACCCACATACATGCTCCCTGAACCTAAAAACATAAAATAAAATAAAAAAATAAAAGAACCCTGTCCTACATGGATAGAAATTATTTCAAAACATACCTCAAAAATGCCAGGACCTCATGCTCATTTGCCACTTGGTTAAGTCACAGTTATCCTATGTGACTGTTAGATGAGTTTCCTTCAAACGTGAGCCCTCTTCTTAACAGAGAGTTGTTCCTGACTTGGAAACTCTGCTTTTCAGTGGACCATAAGGTGCCCCTCACTCATTGCAAAGCGCAGGGAGGTTCTTGAGCTCTCCTGGCTGGAACACAGCAGGCAATTTCCTCCGTGAAGCTTAACTTTTATTTTATATAAAAACAGATAAATTGTATGTACAACATATAATTTTTAACTTACAACAAAGTATAGCTACATAATTTTATAGTGGGGTTTTGTGATGACACATTAGGTCAAAGTAAAGAGCACAAAGTTGAACTACAATGCCGCCAGTTGCAACGCTGCCCACACGAAGGGAGCTGGTCCACAGTCATATGTATGGCACGTT
Source organism: Homo sapiens (assembly GCF_000001405.40). Taxonomy (NCBI): domain Eukaryota; kingdom Metazoa; phylum Chordata; class Mammalia; order Primates; family Hominidae; genus Homo; species Homo sapiens. The sequence goes on along the minus strand of NW_025791787.1, from coordinate 72,358 downwards.
CGTGTCCTCACAGCAACGACACAGCTTCTGAGCTCCATCCTCTGCCTGGAACCAAGCAAGTCTATTTTGCTGCTAATAGTAAGGCCCATCTCAATTTCAGAATTTGTGTTAAAGAATGAAAGAATTCTGTGTTGAGACTCAACAAAATACTGTTGTCGAAATGTGCGCAGCTGCTGCAGGGTCCTCATTCACTGGCCTTGCCAGGAAGCCACAGAGTCGGCAGGCAGAAAACGATGCCCACATTGAGTGGAGAATTTCTGTTTCTAATGAAATCTTCCACGCAGTTGATGGCCTGCATACCCTGGCCTATTTTCCACAGCAAACAGAGTCCTTCCAAAAGATTCATCAACTTAGCAGCATGCATTACATATACACACGATAGACCCTTTCCCCCTCCATTACTGCCTCTCAGCTGACTGCATTTGGCCTGAGACAACTTCATGGCTAGAAAAATCAATAGTGTGGAGGGCAGCCACGCCTTGCCAGTGGATCCATTATCTGTCTCTTTCCTATCTCCATTAATAGAGGGAAATGTTTTCTTAGTGTTATGCGAATTAGAGAAAGAAGCAGTGTCTGCCACAGAATATTGTATTTGTTGAAATTGCCTCTTTGGTGGAAATTTGCCATAAAGTATGTCTGACCAAAGGCTAAAATCACCCAATATTCCTGATTCACTTTCCCTCTTCCTGCTCCCAAGAGAGCATCGGCATTGGAGGTGCATGCTCTCCAGGGGACATGGATGAGAGTGAGGCAGGATATTTTCTTGACCCTTTTGCAGGACTCACGAGAAGGGTGCCCCTTTTACTCAGCTGACCATGCTCAACCCCTCGCAGGAGGGAGCACATGAGCGAACCAGTGCAGGAACCAGCCCGCCAATTCTGGCTTCTGTGCAGACAAGAGCAAACTCGGTTTACTCCAGCCCACCACACTCCATTTCTTGCCAGAGGGAGCGAGTAGGCAAGCCAATGCAGGAACCAGCTGGCCATTTTGGCGCCAGCAGAGAAAACTCAGTGCAGGCCCTGCGTCAGCATCCAGGTGGGGGCGCCTGCGATCCCAAGGCCCCAGAGGGCATGTTGCAATACTTAGTTCTACTGTCCACAGACAGCAGTGTGTTATCAGCTCAGTGGGCCTTTTGTCTCGCTGCGTGGGGCAGCTGCCCTCCACCAGTGAGGGCAAAGGGCCAGTGTGACAGCCTTTTTGGTACCCACATTTGGTAGGTCTTGAATTCTTGTCCAGTTCCAAGAAGAATGCGGTCACATGAACAAATTGAAGGATGATGAATGTGGAAATTTTATTGAGTGATGAGAGTGGCTCTCAGCAGAGAGTGGAACTGGAAAGGGGATGGAAAGGACAGGTCACTCTCCCCTGAAGTCAAGCAGCCTCTCTGCCTCCCTCCTCTGAAATCAAGTTGCCTCTCTCTGAAGTACAGCTGCTTCTCTCTACCAGCTAAATCTGGGGTCCTTATAAGCACAGGATGGGGGGTGGGGCAGGCCATAAGTAGTTTTGGAAAAGGCAACATTCAAATGGAAAAAACACATTACTCAGAAAAAACTAATAGGGAGAGAGTAGGCAAAGAGGGACGGAAGTTCTCACTTTAAGCCGTGGGTGTCAGGCTTTTTGGCTTGAAAGTGGGGCTTCACCAGGGACCAACTCCTGTCTGTCTAGAGTTTCTCTGCCTCCTGCCTCTATCAAGAGGAAATAGTAAAAATAAGTGAGGTGACAGCCATGCCCTATTCCAAGTGTCAATGTACAGTGGGGCACAGGCAAGGCAGTGGGGCCAGTGGCTCCCTGCTGGGCCTTGTCCTCAGATGGGCACAGTGGGTGGCTCGCAAGAAATTTGAGAGGTCTTCCCCACTGCCTTGCATTGATTCTGGAGCCTGTGTGTGCCAGCCCTCTGATCCCTGCAGGGCCACCCTCCCTGAAAGCATCTAGAACAGGGGTGATGCTGGGGTTGCCCCACACCACGCTCAGCCCTGCCCTCAGCCAGGCTCACCCCAGGGGGACAGGGTATGTGAGAGGCGTGTCTACACACCCCTACACAAGGCCAGGCCAGTGGGGACTTCTGGAGGCATCACAGGTGTGCATGTGGCAAGGGGCACATTTAAAGCTGGTTTCTAGTTCCTGCAGAGAAGAGGAAACTGGAGCCTCTCCCCTGTACCCTGTGTGTGCACAGCCCCATTTTCAACCTTGCTTACCAACCTTGGCACCATCCCTGGGAACGTTCCAGTTTTTAAGCTTCTCTGCTCCTCTGTTTAACTCTGGCCCTCTTGTCACACCAGAGCAAATCCTGGGACACAAAAGTATCCTAGCAGGACATGGGGTCAACAGAAAAGGCTACGGAGTGGTAGAACAAACTAAGATTTGGAGCCCAAGTTCAGTTTCCCTTGAGGTTTCTCCATGGAACCAAGTGAAAATGATACCCCCCACCCCTCCGCTCACACTGTTCCAGCGTGGACACACACACCACAATCTGCCATGAGCAAAGGAGAATTCTGGGCAGCACAAGCTATTGTGGCTAAATCCAGAATTAGGGTCCATTTTCCCCTTGCCCACAGCTGGTTGCCTTCTCTGCTCATGCATAGAGCAGACACTGAGGCCCAGGGCACCCTGCCCCACAGCCCAGCAGGGCAGACAGAGGCAGATCAAATCTCTCTTTCCTTTGTGTGATGTTCTTGGGTATCTTTTCCCACTATTTTCTGTGGGCAGAAAAGGGATGGTATAGAAATGTGTCATCTCCCACCCACAAGACCTCCACAGTCAGGAGAGAGGTAAGGATTGTTCTGCCAGCTCCTATTCACTTTATTCATTATTGAAGACTTTAAAGACGAGGTAATGAGACAACCTGGACCCTGTTGAAGTATATCAATAGTAGAATTTTTAAAAACAGAGCATGGCCCCTCTGCACGAAATCCACAAGTTTCTGTGTGTCTGCGTAGCTGTTGGGAGAGAACAGGCAGGACTGACACCACTCCTGCCGTTCCACCAACCAACCTCCCTGGCAGGGCCTTGCCTTTGGGGAAGCTCAGCCCATGAGTGGTATTAGTTCCTGTCTTCATCCATTTGGGTGGCTATAATGGAATACCATAAACTAGGTGGCTTATAAACAACAAAAAATTATTTCTCACAGTTCTACAGGCTGGGAAGTCCAAGATCAAGGCACCAGAAGACGTGTTGTCTGGCCAGGTGAAGGCTCCTTCCTCAGAGACAGCGCCTTCTCGCTATGTGGTAGAAGAGGTGAGGCAGCTCTCTGGGGTCTCTTTCAGGAAGGCACTAGTCCCATTCACGAGAGCTCCACCCTCATGACCTCATCCCCTCCCACAGGCCCCACCTCTTACTGACATCACACTGGAGAGTCAGTTTCAGCACAGGAATCTCAAGGGACACAAACATTCAGGCCATAACAGTTCCTTTCCCATGATCTTTAGTGCATTGACCACTGAAGATCACCAAACTAATCATCTCCATATGTACCCTACCTCCAACTGTCTCTATCTTCTCTTGCCCCTCCCCGCAACCCCATTTCCTGCCTGCATAGGAGAGACCTGCTCAGCAGCCTGGAATCTATATGGAAACATCTTCACAGACACAACACATCTAGCAAGAGCAAGGGCTGCAGCCATGGAGGACCCTTCAGAGTCCCTCAAGGCTGTGTTTGGCCTGGGACATTCCACAGGCACGATGAGCATGAAGAAGAGGTTCTGAGAGGACCTTGTGTGCCACCCTGACCTCATGCACACCCTGCTGGATGACCACAAAAAAGGAACAGATCCCACCACCTACACCTGGGGAACCCTGAGACCAGCCCTCCCTGCACACCCAGGGACGCTCCAGACCAGGTCCTGACCCACGCACGGGGATATGGGGACCAGAGGCCCACCCACACACTCAGGGACATAGGAACCAGAGCCAACTGTCCTTGTCCTCTTCTACCATGTACCTCAGGAGCTTAAGGCAGTGGCTTATGTGCCTGGAAAAGCAGAAGATTGCAGAAATCGTGTTTTGGAGGGAAATGAACTTGCAGGGGTTTTTTGGTGACAGGAAATGCTGTTCCCTGCCTGGATCTTAAATTTGTTTGCGAAGCATCTTTCTGAAGGTGGTCTGTCTTTCAAGGGTCAGAGCTTTGTTTTCCAAATTCAAAATTATAATTGATTTTCATGCTATCACACAGGCCAAGTTTTATTCTCCTTCCCTCCCTCCCTTCAGCAGTGGGCTGAGACCTGATGCCAGCCTGGTGCCTGGGCTCCATCACTGGGCAGAAAGGACCCAAGAGGGTGTTTGAGAGAGTTAGAATGCAACCAGGAGCACATCCTCATGCCCACCCTTCCTCTGCTGCTCCTTAATTTCCTTGTCTTGGCTCTTGTCTCCACTGCAGCTCTATAGAGGAAACATGTAGGCCTCACCCAAACACACCCTGCAGCCCTGGCCTCAGTGTCACCCTGTGCTGTTGGCACCCAACCCTGGCTTGCTGCCAGCAAAACTGAAGAAGAAAACACGACCTGCAGCAGTCCTTCAGATCTATTGAGAAATAGACGAGTCATTCCAATTTGAAAGGAAAGACAACCACAAGTTGGGGGGTGTGGGGGGTACTATCTCGTAACAAAAAAATTAACAAAAAAAAACCCTGCTGAGAAAATGACAAACACTATTTTTTATAAAGGGAAAGATATTTGGATGTACTGATAGACACAAACCACCTAGGCAAAGACCCTTCAGCCTGTAAAGAATGACCACTGTGAAGCACCGAGCACTGGCTCAGTGTTAAGCAAACAGGTGAATGAGTTGTATAAAGGAGGTGGAACTAGGGGCATCTTTAAATCTTTAACTTTAAAGTTAAGGCCTTCACTTACCACCTCATTATCAGTGAAGATGTTATGTTGCCTGCTATCTTCCTGAAGACACTAATACCTAAAAAACTCCAAGGGAAAATTATTTTCAGCCTGAAATTATACATTCAGCAAAGTATTCATCACATGTAAAGACAGACTAAAGAAATTTTCGTACATATAAAGATTCATAAAATTGACCTTTCTTGGCCCTTCCTTAAATAGCTACTGAAAATAATGTCCAGTAACATTAGGAAAACAAGGAAGCAAAGAAACAGTAGGCCCCACCCAGGAGAGTAAGAAGCAGCTCTAGGGTGAGAAATGCGCCACAGGCCTAGAGGGCAAGCAGCCCAGATGTGACGGGTTTATAGAAGTATGCAGAAGGGAAGACTCTTGGGGAAAGGGAGAAATCTAGTAGAACAAATTATAAAAATTGAACATTTGGGGACAATAACAAAAATATGTGGCTAGAAAATATACAAGTGAAAAATGAGGCAATTAAAAACTCCAGCAGAAACAAAAAGCTCCACAAAACAGGAAATGGACACATTGTATATTCACCTCTTGGGGCCTCAGTGAACAATATGTAAATAGCTATCCTAGTAATAAAAATATTGATTATTGATTCAACTGTATGATAAGATGTGAGAGAAGACAAAAACATGAGGCAAGAAAATCTGTCATTACAGAAAATCATTTCACAATTACTTAATAAAATTGATCAAATCAAGAAGTAATTATATGAGCATACTGACTAAAAGCTATGGAGGTGACTAGCAGAAGAAACTGCTAAGAAGTTTAAAAGTGAGTGACTCTGAGAAGCTGGGCTGGGGGACCTTGGGGAGGGGCAAGGGGACTTATTCTTTTCATTGTGAGATTTTCGGTTCTGTTTGATTCTTTGAATAATAAGTATGTTTTACACTGATAAATATGTATTTATTGATTTTAATAAATAAATATTCCCAATGGATGAACAAACCAACGTCTGGCCTGTGAAAGGGCAGAAAGAAGAAGGGCAGCAATTGGTGGTGAATGTGATGCAGTAAATAACCGAAGCTGGAGGACAGGACCTCCGGAGGCAAGGTGCAGGCAAACCCTTGGAGACAGGTGCAAAATTCAGGTGGAAGGGGAAAGGTGAGAGGGCCTTCCATTCAAGTCCTATCCAGTCGTCACTGCCTGGAGAAATTTATTGTCAAATGTGGTATCAATTCAAATTGAAATGTCTTCACTTTCATCACTCCTTTTTTACTCTCCTAAGCAATACTAGGAAATATTTGCTTTTGATATTCCTGGACACTTGGCAAGGAGTAGAATTTGTTTGTAACACACTGCTGCTGTGTTTATGCACATGGTTGGAACACATTCAGGGAAATTGTACCACAAAAGCCCAAGAAAAGTAATTCCCAGTGGTGAAAATAAACATGGTTTCTGGAGAAAATGCTACATATAATCATCACATGTTTGTCTGGATTCAAGAGAATGTTAAAATCACTTCTCAGGGAAAAGAACTCATCTAGGATAAGTGCACAGAATTGACCATTTTCCAAAACAATGATGGCAGAATTTCAGCTCTGTCTGGTATTATTGGTGTGTGTGGCTCAAAAAGAAACTTAAGAAAATAATTTATCCATGGAAAACTGAGTTGACCTGCTGAGGTGTGTCTTTACTGCTAATGTACATACATGTGAGGAGGGACATAGCCATATAACCTAGACTTCATAAAATGAAGTGAGAATGTGTTTTCTCATTAATTTATCAAGGGTTCTGTGCTTAATGACATGTAAGTGGTGATCTTTATGTCTCACCATTCAGAAACGAGATGTCATGAATTAAGATTTCAAATAGAGCTGAAGCTGTTGCCTCTAACCCTTCACCCTCTTCTTCAGGACCCATTTCTGAACTGACTTAGAAATACAACAGGAGAGGCAAGGCATGGTGGCTCACGCCTGTAATCCCAACACTTTGGGAGGCCAAGTCAGGCAGATCACTTGAGGTCAGGAGTTTGAGGCCAGCCTGGCCAACATGGTAAAACCCCATCTCTACCAAAAAGACAAAAATTAGCTGGGCATGGTGGCGTGTGCCTGTAATCCCAGCTACTCGGGAGGCTGAGGCAGGAGAATTGCTTGAACTCGGAAAGTGGATATTGCAGTGAGCCCAGATTGTGCCACTGCACTCCAGCCTGGGCATCACAGTGAAACTTCATGTAAAAAAAAAAAAAAACGGAAATGCAACAGGAGAAAATACACACCCACACCCCATACCTCATTGTAGCTCAGGAGACTAGCCACAGGTGAACTCCCCTGTCCTTAGAGCCTCTAGGAACTTGGGCTGATAGCTCAGATGGCTCAGACTCAGGAGGATTGATGACTGATCCTCCCTGAGTGGATGGTTTCTTAGCTTCAAACATGTTTTTTCTCTCTGGACATTAAGTGACTGTATTTTTTCGTTCAGGCTGTCATAACAAAATACCACAGGCTGAGTAGTTTAAACAACAGACATTTATTTCTCACTGTTCTGGAGGCTGGAATTCCAAGATTAAGATGCCCGGCAGGATTAGTTTCTAGGCAGAGCTCTCCTCCAGGCTTGCAGACAGCCGCCTTCTCTTTGTGTTCTTGCATGGCTTTTCCTCAGTGAACGCACACACTTCCTGTTCTTATAAGGACACTGGTCCTATCAGATTAAGGCCCCACCCTTATAATCACATTTATAGTTAATTACTTCCTTCCTCCAAACACAGTCAGTGATGAGTTGTAGGACCTCAGGCAAATCACCTCGACAGCCCTTGGCTTCTTCTGAGATGATTTCATGTTTAGAAATACTAAAAACAGACTGGCTGTCAGGCTAAAGAATTGCTTCTTAGTTCCACCAGCTTCTTCCCAGTGATGCTTTCGGATGATTCTGCAGGCAATTGGATTGCTTCCACCAGATGGCTTGGAACAGAAAGTGCAGGCATGGAGAGAAGGTGGCCGCATGTATTAGTTGGCTCCGGCTGCTGAAACAAAATACCATTGACTGAGTGGCTTACAGATAAAAGAAAATTACTTTCTCATAGTTCTAGAGGTAGGGAAGTCCACATCAAGGTGTCAGCTGATTTGGTTCCTGGCAAGGGTTCTCTTCCTGGCTTGCAGACAAGTGCCTTCTCAGTGTGTTCTCACATGGTGGAGAGAAAAGAAGCTCTTTCTCTTCCTCTCCTTATAAGACCACAGTCATATCAGATTAGGGCTACCCTGTGACACATTTAACCCTAATTGCATTCTACAGACCTTGTCTCCAGACACAATCACATTGGGCGTGAGGGCTTCAACATATGAATTTGGTAAATGCAGGACACAATTCAATCCACAGCAATGATAAACCACCACCACCACGACCAAAGTCTAGCTTTCATCCCAAAGCATCAGAGCAGCACAATCTCAGCACCATCCTAAGATTTCATGCCCCCAAAGCGGGGGTGTCTGTGTAGGGTGGAGTCACCCGTGAACAGTCAGACCCCTCAGATGCTGACCAGAGACCAGCGGGGTGATGGAAATCCACTTTAGGGCCAGATTACCATGCAGCGTCAAATACCATTATTCCTGCTCGACCTAAGAAGAGTGAGCTATGGATTGGAGGAATTCAGAGAACATTCCCTCTCACTCTTGGAAGTTGTGCCCTGCTGAAAGAGTGAACCCTGATATTCCAAAGGAACTAAGAAGATAACACTGAGTGGGTCTCCACGAGCATGCCACGCATTAGGGCTTTCATCCACGTTTGCAGTGCAGCGGTAACAAATGCCGCAGAAGCAGAGACTTGAACAGTGCTGCACAGGCTTAGAATCCCAAAACCACCATGGGAATGAGCCCAGTCGGGCCTGCCAGGGGATAAGAGGCCACAGAGAGCAGCATCAAGGTGTCCTAGCTGCCTGGCTGCCCACTGGCCACAGACACATGGAATTGTCCAGTAGAGACCATCAAGCTGGCCCAAACTAGAAGAAATGCCCAACCAACTCCTAGACTAGTAAACCAAAGAAAAGGGGTATCGTTGGGCCAGGCTCAGTGGCTCATACCTGTAATCCCAGCACTTTGGGAGGCCAAGGCGGGAGGATCCCTTGAGGTCAGGAGTTCGAGACCAGCCTGGCCAACATGGCAAAGCCCCATCTCTACTAAAAATACAAAAATTAGCTGGGTGTGGGGCACATATCTGTAATCCCAGCTACTCAGGAGGCTAAGGCACAAGAATTGCTTGAACCCAGGAGGTGGAGGTTGCAGTGAGCCAAGATCGTGCCACTGTGCTCCACCCTGGGTGACAGAGCAAGACTGTCAAAAGAAGAAAGAAAGAAGAAAGAAAGAAAGAGAGAGAGGGAGGGAGGGAGGGGAGGAGGGAGGAAGGAAGGAAGGAAGAAAGGAAGGAAGGAAGGAAGGATTGTTTTAAGCCTCTAAGTTTTGAGATATTTTGCTATGCAGCAAATAGTGCTTAATACTTGCTAATGGTGCAATCTCCCAACTTAGACTGCTTTTCTTTTTTTTCATTTTTTTATTTTTTTGAGATGAAGTCTCTCTCTGTCGCCCAGGCTGGAGTGCAGTGGTGCGATCTCGGCTCACTGCAAGCTCCGCCTCCCGGGTTCACACCATTCTCCTGCCTCAGCCTCCCGAGTAGCTGGGACTACAGGCGCCCGCCACCATGCCCAGCTAATTTTTTGTATTTTTAGCAGAGACAGGGTTTCACCGTGTTAGCCAGGATGGTCTGACCTCGTGATCCGCCCACCTCGGCCTCACAAAGTGCTGGGATTACAGGCGTGAGCCACTGCACCCAGGTCTAGACTGCTTTTCTAATGAAGAACATCCTCCCCTTCCCAAACAAAATTCCATTTCTTTGTACAAATATAGGACTAGAGAGTAGCAAAACCTCCTGCAACTCAAATATTCTTCCAGAAGCCAGGTGAGGAATGACAGAAGTAGTGAATGAGAACCCCGAATGAGCTCTGGGGTGGGGAGTGGTGACAGGAGAGGAAGCCGAAGTCCATAAGGAGATGTGCCAAAACCACTCCTCTCCATGGGCTGCAGCCACCAGAACCGGCCACAAATGTGGTCATCTTGCCCATGGTTAGGCTCACCTTGAAAAACAGAACCTTCTCAACTGTAGAGAAAAGCATAGACATCAGCAAGTACTTATGTGCAGCAAAGTCCATTCCACAATATGTTCTTACTGATCTGGAAACAACACAGTCACAAATAAATGGGTTAAGAAAGTGGTTGCAGCCGGGTGCAGTGGCTCACGCCTGTAATCCCAACACTTTGGGAGGCCGAGGTGGGCGGATCACCTGAGGTCGGGTGTTTGAGACCAGCCTGACGAACATGGAGAAACCCCGTCTCCACTAAAAATACAAAATTAGCCAGGCATGGTGGCACATGCAGGCGCATGCCTGTAATTGCAGCTACTCGGGAGGCTGAGGCGGCTGAGGCGGGAGAATCGCTTGAACCTACGAGGCAGAGGTTGTGGTGAGCTGAGATCACGCCATTGCACTCCTGCAGCCTGGGCAACAAGAGCGAAACTCCATCTCAAAAAAAAAAAAGAAAAAGTGGTTGCTTCATTTAAAATTACTCATGCTCACTATTGCCAAACTCCCCCCAAAAGTGGTAGCATTGCCTTTGTCTTTGGACACACTGGGTGTTGGAGGTCATTGATGAGGAACTCCTTGTGGACCCCCAGCCAGCTTTGTCCTCTTGGTTTCAGTGAAGCTCCAAATAGGCTTCGCCCATTTCTTGCAGTGGGTAGCTGCAGACAGAAGCTCCTTCCAAGGCAGTGGCTGGGACAGCAGCTAAAAGACTTAACTTGGCAGACACTGTGAGTCAGTGCATGAAAAGGCCGGTATGGAGATACAGATTAATTACATAGGGAAAAATAGCAACTGCCCCGAGGAGAAAGCTGCACACAGCACCTTCACCAGGTGAGCCGGGTTAGCATCATCAGTCATGCCACATACTGGCCTTATGTGCCCTCTGATACCACACACTGAGGAGGATACCACGTCACTCTTATGATATTCTTGCAAAAAATAATGCATAAGCTACATTTAATCAGGAGGAACGTGCCACAAAATCATGGCCAGTACTCTTTAAAAAAAGTCTGAAGGTCATTAGAGACAAAGAAAAGTTGTGGAACCATTCCAGACTAAAAGAGACCAAGGACATTTGATGACTTAAATACAGCATGAGATATTGGACTGGGTCCTGGATCAGAGAAAGACATCAGTGGGGCCATGGATGAAATCTGAAGAGCATGGGTGGATTCGTTAACAGTACTGCATCAATGCTAAGTCCCTGGGATTGACTATCTTAACATAATTATGTGAGGTGTAAACACTGGGGAAACTGGGGTAAGGCATACAGAAAATTTTTGTACTGTTTTTGCAACTTTAAGTTCCAACTTATTTCAAAATCAAGTTTAAAAAGTAAAGAATAAAATCTCTTTAAAATTTAACAAGAAGAGAAAAAAAAAGAGAGAAGCTCCCACCACTGTTGGCTGACATCTATGTTCTTTAAATTTAGTGGGAAAGAAATGATCAATTTTGGCCAGGCAAGGTAATCCTAGCACTTTGGAAGACCGAGGCAGGTGGATCACCTGAGGTCAGGAGTTCGACACCAGCCTGGCCAACATGGTGAAATCCCATCTCTACTAAAAATACAAAAAATTAGCCAGGCCTGGTGGCTGGTGCCTGTAATCCCAGCTACTTGGGAGGCTGAGGCAGAAGAATCACTTGAACCCAGGAAGTAGAAGTTGTAGTGAGCTGAGATTTCACCACTGTACTCCAGCCTGGGCAACAAGAGTGAAACTCCATCTCAAAAAAAAAAAAAAAAAGAATTTTTTTTTTTTGAGATGGAGTCTTGCTCTGTCACCCAGGCTAGCGTGCAATGGCGCGATCTTGGCTCACTGCAACCTCTGCCTCCCAGTTCAAGCGATTCTCCTGCCTCAGCCTCCTGAGTAGCTAGGACTACAGGCGTGTGCCACCACACCCGGCTAATTTTTTTGCATTATTATTTTTTTTAGTAGAGATAGGATTTCACCGTGTTAGTCAGGAGGGTCTCGATCTCCTGACCTCGTGATCCACCCTCCTCAGCCTCCAAAATTGCTGGGATTACAGGCGTGAGCCACCGCGCCCTCCCATCATTTTTTAATTCATTTGGCTACCAGCCCTCAGAAGGTTAAGAGATAGCCATATGGTGGACATTTGTTTGGGGCCACCCTGCATAACCCACTCACCCCCTTCTCTCACCCCGGGTTTTCATTGCGGAGTTTATTTTTCCCTTGACTCGCAGTCATAAGACTCTGGGGAAGGAGCTGCTAACTCCAGCCCTAGAAAAGAGGTGTGTGGCCCAAGCCTACCCAGCAGCATATTCAGTCTCCTTGGCCCTGGTGACACTCCACAGAGGGCATGTGACAGCAGGAAGTAGACTTAATTCTGAGCGTTTGGCTTAAGCATCAGGAGGCTGTCACAACCAGCCCCACCTCCACTGGACTTGAATAAGCTCAATGGGGACCAAAGCTACCTCTGTGACCAGCTGCTGCCAGGAGGGAGTCTGTCCCAGCAAGAAGCCAGCCCTGAAGCTGCAGAAATGAGTCCTGCCACAGCACCCAATCCCTAGTCAGGCCACACCTGACTCCACCCCGTGGGTCCTGTAACTAGAAGAGGTCAGGAAGCCCCCCGTCCTTCAGGCATTCCGGATTGCAGGGGCCTCCCGCAACCAAGAGAGCCATGTTTAGCTGAGTTCCATCTCCTGCTGAGAAAGTCAAGATCAGCCAAACCACATGCTGCAGTGTCAGAGTCTCGGGTTATGAAAGGCGGCATCAGTGGGGTAGTGAAGACAGGAGGAAAGGGCAGAGAGGCCACCAGTGTGCCTCTGGGAGGACAAACGTTTTACATTGGCCAGCGTGCCCCCATATTTTGGTGTTCTGACAACCCACCCACTTAATCAGCAAGAAATCGAGACTTTCCTGTGATCCCCATGTCCAGTTCATCCTTTGCAAGTTCCTGGGCGGGGAGCAGAGTGGCTGTCACATAGACAAAGATGTAGGCCGCCCACCAGCGCCTACTTCTCCAACTTCAAGGTCCCCTGCTCCATCCACTGCTCCCCAGATGGCCTGGGCATCCTTGAACGTGGCCAGCCCTTTCCCCGTGAATCAGTTCCCTGTATGGAGTCCAGGTTGCTCAGAAAGGCCTGTGGACAATGTCTGAGCCCCAGTCGAGGCTGAGCTCCACCAGTTCCTGTGCCCTAAGGAAGTCAGGAGATGGGGCTGAGCGCCCAGCCTTCCGGAGGTCGGAGCCTGCTGCCTAGCAGATGACCACGAGGGGGCAGTGTGGAGCAGTTGGTAGGCCGGGCCGGCGGCTCCTGGCTGACCAGCCGGACCGGACTTCCCAACCTGAAATCCAACCGGAGGGAAAAGAAAATACACAGCCAGCGGCAACAGCCAACCCTGAGTGGCGGGGTGGCAGATTATGTTTATTTCCCAAATGTCCTGTAATTGATAAGTAACTGATTACCAAATAAATTTTATTACTAAAATGAAAGAAAGAAGCCAGATCAGTAGATACCTGTTTTTCTGCATTGCTTGTATCCAAATTCACACATTTGTCCAACTGCAAAGATCCTGACCAGGTGTCACGGACCACTCCAGGACCGGCAGGGACTGCTTCAGGCAAGGAAGATTTGTACCCCTGGGAGCCGCTGTGCCCGTCTCCACCTGGGGTCCAGCGCAGCCCACCTGGGGTCCGGGAACCCTCGCCTTGAGGACAGGTGTCTCTTATCCTGCGTCCAGTTATTTTGGTTGTGATGGAACTCCATTTTCTCTTGGAGATTAACAGCGCCTGCACTTTGTATACTTGAGGACATTGCCAGGGGTGCCCTCTACCACCCCACTCTTAACTTGTTTTCATAGCGACATTTCCCAAATTCTCAGTCATTTCACGTGAAGTCTTCCCAATTTCTCCATGGATCCACTTCAACCGTGAAGACACTGGACACAGAGTGCCATGAGGACTGAATATAACGGCAGGGGCCTGCGCCTAGGGGCGGGTCCCACAGCAGGACACTGCTCTTGCTGCCAGACCCACCGCTGGACCCAGGGTTTCTAGGCACTGATGACTCCCAACCACCCAGGATTCTTGTTATGGACAGGATCATGTGCCCGTAGTTCATATGTTGATGCCCTAAATCCCGATATGGCTTATAAATGGCACTTGGAAGGACATATTGGATTAGAGACTCACACTTTTGAAATGAGGTCATAAGTAAGTCCCTGATTCAATATGACGATGCATCCTTAGAAGAAGAGGAACAGATGCACGGTGCTGCGCTCGCTCGCTCTCTTCTCTCTCTCTCTCTCTCTCTCTTTCTCTCTCCACATAAGCACAGAGGAAAGGCCATGTGAGGACACAGTGTCCACAAGCCAGGAAGCAGGCCTTCATCAGAAACCAGATTTGACAGCACCTAGATCTTCAGCCTTCAGAACAGTGAGAGAATGAATGTCTGCCATTTGAGCCCCCAGCCTGTGGTATCATGTGAGGCAGCCTGAGCTGGCACCTGCAGTTCTCTTAGGACCGTAGACATGCTCACCTGGAACAGAGGCCACCGTGTCCATTGTCTGTGCAGGGCTGTTCTCACCCCTGCCCGGGGGTGCATCACAAACACCTGATGGTCTCATGCCGCCCCCCCCGCCCAGTCACAAACACACACACCCCATCCATGAGCAGTAGAAATAAGCATCCAGGAAAGGAATCAGGGAGCTAATTCCTCTTCCTAATGCTAAGAATTGCTCAGAAATACATGCACTTTTAACCCTCACTTGTCTGGGGCTCTGACAGACCTCCCTCTCTGGACGGCAGCTGTGTGTGCTTCAACCTGTTTCAGCACGGTCACCCCACTCCCCTGCTTCCTCTCTGCTCCTCATGGCCAGGACACCTCGCAAGGACCCTCCCTCACCCTCTACCTTGAGGGCAGCCATAAGCAGTAGCCTGGGGCTTGGGAGTTGGGAGCTGGGACCCCCCCTACCTACCACTCTATGGGTGGTGGCTCACCCCAGTTGGGGATAAGGCTGCAGGGAACACAGTGTTGGAGCCCCTTAAGCATGGCCGAGAAGAAGCACTTCATGGAGACACTCAGGCAGCAACATGGCAGGGGCTGTGTCTGGTGCTCAGGCTCTTACGTCCCAGAGAACCCAGAGGAAAGCAGGGCCGACCTCCCTGCTACGGGCTGCCTGTAGTCTACTCCATAGTCCCAGGAAAACAAGCTCTGCCCTTTCCCTTTGAGGGGCTGGTGGAGAAGGGAGCAGTCCCAGCCAAGAAGACACAAGTTGTCCTTCTAGGCTTGTGGGCCCCGAGGAATAGCTGCCCCTCCCGCACCTCCATTGGCCATTCTCCCTCTTCCCCTTCTCCCCTCAGGAGAGCAGACATGTCTCCCTTGTCACCTGCTAGCAAACTGGAAGTCTCTCTCCCTCCTTCAGCAAGCACCCCTGGGAGACTTTATCTTCAGCAGACAAGGTCTTTGCTCACCCTGCACGGGGAGAATTCAAGAGGCCTTGGACATCACGAGGAAACCTGGCCCACGTGGGAGCTGGGGGTCTAGGGCCACCACATAAGTGTGAGTCCCCAACGTGAGAAAGAAGCAGCCACCTGTTGAACCAGGTATAAAAGGAGTCGAGAAACCTTGAGAAGTCTAGGTCCATCGCTGTGGGTTCACATGTCGGGAGAGTCAGGCGCATTGGGTTTTTGTTTGTGGTTTTCAATATTTTGTTTGTTTGTTTGTTTGTTTTGTTTTCTTTTTGAGACGGAGTCTCGCTCCATCGCCCAGGCTGGAGTGCAGTGGCACAATCTCGGCTCACTGTAACCTCTGTCTCCTGGGCTCAAGCAATTCTCCTGCTTCAGCCTCCCAAGTAGCTGGGATTACAGGTGCCCACCACCACACCCAACTAATCTTTTGTATTTTTTAGTAGAGACGGGATTTCACCATGTTGGCCAGGCTGATCTCGAACTCCTGACCTCGTGATTCACCTGCCTCAGTCTCCCAAAGTGCTGGGATTACAGGTATGAGCCACCGTGCCTGGCCTAATTTTTTTATTTTTAATTTTTGTGGGTACATAGTAGGTGTGTATATTTATGGGGTACATGAGATGTTTTGATACAGGCATGCAATGCATAATAATCACATAATGAAGAATCGGAGTATTCATCCCCTCAAGCATTTATCTTTTGTGTTACAAACAATGCAATTATAGTTATTTTTAAATGTACAATTAAATGATTATTGACAGTAGTCACACTGTTGTGCTATCAAATATTAGGTCTTATTTATTCTTTGTATTTTTTTGTACCTATTAACCATTCCCACCTTCCTCCCAACCCCACTTTCCTTTCCAGCTTCTGGTAACCAACCTTCTACTCTCTATGTCCAAGAGTTCAATTGTTTTGATCATTAGATCCCACAAATAAGTGAGAACATGTGATGTTTGTCTTTCTGTGCCTGGCTTATTTCACTTCACATAAGGGCCTCCTTTTCCATCTATATTATTGCAAATGACAGAATCTCATTTTTTTAATGGCTGAAGAGTACTCCATTGTGTATATGTACCACGTTTTCTTTATCCATTCATCTGTTGATGGACACTTAGGTTGCTTCCAAATCTTGGCTGTTGTGAACAGTGCTGCAATAAACATGGGGGTGCAGATACCTCTTCAATATACTGGCTTCCTTTTCCTTTCTTTCGGGTATATACCCAGCAGCAGGATTGCTGAGTCACATGGTCACAGCACATTGTTAATGAGCACAGACTCGCAGAATGCAGGACACGGATGGTGCGGGGGGAGAACAGCTGCACTCTCGGAGTGTCCAACTCCTCTTCAATATCTTTCCCTCACGTAATTCACAGCAATGGCTTCAAAGGAATAAGAAGGGGAGGGTGAGCTTAGTGCCAGATCTTTTAATGACCTCCTCTTAAGCTTAAAAATGCAGTTGCAAAATCAAAGAGTCCTACAAAAAGAAATTATTTAAAGTAAGTTATGCAACGTGTGCCCTTTGGAAAAACAGCAATGTCCTTAGAGTTATGCCCCCAGGATGGTGGGGACAGGCCCTACATCTGCAAACACATGTGCTCAGACCACCTGGCCCCTGCCAGGATCCCCCGCCCCTGGCCGTCTGCAAGTTTCCAGTCTTCGCAAAAATCCATTCGAGTCTGGAAAACATTCCTCTCCCCAACAAGCTGGCTCCTTCCCTCTATTCAGATCAGCTAAAAATCCTCTTCCTAAGGATCCAGCCCCAAATATGCTGTATAAGGAAGTCCCCACCTCAAAATCTCCACTGCCCTATTTCTTACTGAAATTCCTGTGGACAAAGGACAGACAGAGCTCAACATCATCTCTCTGCACACTGACATAAATGCATATCTAATTGCTTCCTTTGGAACAACTAATCAGAAACTCAAAAGAATGCAATCATTTGTCTCTTATCTACCTATGACTTGGAAGCCCCCTCCTTGCTTCGAGTTGTCCCTCCTTTCTGGACCAAACCAATGTACATCTTACATATATTGATTGATGTCTCATGTCTCCCTAAAATGTATAAAACTAAGCTGTGCCCTGACCACCTTGGGCATATGTCATCGGGACCTCCTGAGGCTGTGTCACAGGCATGTCCTTAACCTTGGCAAAATAAACTTCCTAAATTGATCAAGACTTGTATCGGATACTCTTTGGTTTACAGTATGGTACCACATTTGTGTATCCATTCATCAATTGACAGACATATGGGTTGCTTCCAGTGTTTGACAATGGTGAATAATACTGCTATGAACATTTGTGTATATGCCTTTCTGGGGCATATGTTTTCAGTTCTCTTGGGTGTATATATATATGAGTGGAATTGCTAGACCATATGAAAACATTTAACTTTTTAAAGAAACCACTAAACTGTTTTACAAAGAGGCTGCACCATGTTACAATCCCAGCAGGAATACAGATGTTCCAGAGGCTCCACATCCTCACCAATACTTGTTATTAACAGTCTTTCTCATTCTATCCATGCTAGTGGCAGGGAGGTGGTATCTCACGGTGCCTTTGATTTGCATTCATTTGATAACTACTAACGTTTAGCACTTCTTCACATACTTTTTGACCACTTGTGTATTTTCTTTGGAGAACTGTCTATACAGATCTTTTTTAAAATTGTGGCAAAATGCTCATAACATAACACCATCCTAACCATTTTAGTGTACAGTTCAGCAGTGGTAAGTATATCTGCACTGTTGGGCAACCCATCTCCAGAACATTTTCATACCCACTAAAAACCGTGCCCCATTTCCCCTCCTCCTGCTCTTGGCAACCACCAGTCTACCATTTCCATGCATTCAACCACTTGCTCGTGAGTGCAATGAGTAACTCTCTTCAATCCCCTAGTGTGATGATCCTATATAAAACATGTCCATTTTATTATGGAATTCTTTGGGGCACCAATCTCTGTTAGAGCATTTCTCCAATATCACCCAAGATAGTATGAGTATTTCAGGTTTCAAGACTACTGTATGGCCAGGCACAGTGGCTCATGCGTGTAATCGCAGCACTTTGGAAGGCTGAGGCAGGGGGATCACTTGAGCCCAGGAGTTCGAAACCAACCTGGACAACATGGCAAAACGCCTTCTCTACAAAAAATACAAAAATTAGCTGAGCATGGTGGTGCATACCTGTAGTCCCAGCTCTCCGGGAGGCTGAGGTAGGAGGACTGCCTGAACCCAGGAGGTAGAGGCTGCAATGAGCTGAGATCTTACCACTGCACTCCAGCCTTGGTGACAGAGCAAGACCTTGTCTCAAAAAAAAAAAAATTGACTATTTTATGTCCTTCAATCAATCATAGGAACAATTTCAATAAATGTTCAATAGCAAGCTAGTAATTGCCCCTCAGGTGGGAACTCCCTAGCCCACAGGTAAATCGGCCCTTCAGGCAATATTAATTGGACACATTAATGGGATTGAGCAAGATTACCCAGGCCCACACAGGGTGCTAATTTCAACAGTACAGAACAGAGGCTGCAGTGCTGGCAGCAAAGTCTCTGCACAATGGCCTCTTGTGGGACACAGACTGAGGCTTATGGCACCAGCCTGTGAGCACATCCCGGCCACACGTGAGTTAGATCCATCTCTGTCTTGGGCGCCTCTTCACCAGGAGGATTAAAGAACAATATCCAGGGTGCTGTCAAAGTGCCGGACCTCCTTCTCCTAACTCAGATACTCTTAGGGTGACATGGGGGATGGAGAGCTAAGGTGTCCGTCATTAAAGCGAGGCTCAGCCTCACCTCAGAGGGATACTCATGATCCCCCTTCACCTCCCAACACCTGGGTCGCAGCACAGGCCGATCGCCCTGTGTTTTGCCGGGGTCGGCAGGAGCTTCTGCTGCTGAGCATGTCGCCTGGTAGGGGCACGGCTCACCCAGTCTGAGGGCGTCTCCAAAGGCCCGTCATTCGTCACATGTGTGACTACCTGCAGGGTGTACTGTGCATGTTTAACACCCAGCTGCAGGAGGAGCCGCTACTTAGAAGTGTTGTCTGATTTCTGCTCTGTGAATACTCCCCCATGGCCCATTTCAGGCCCGTTTCCTACTATAGGTGGGAGGCCGAAGAAAGGTTCACAGGAGAGCCCTAGGAGCTGTCCCCACCTAGGATCTACTCCACCCATCCACAGAGTCAGAACATGTTTGTCCCAAGGGCAGGCACAAGGGCTGGCATAGAGAAAGCCCCCAGTAATACAATCGAGTGAATGAATGAGTGCACGCCCCAGAAACAACACTAACAAAAGTGTTAAAGGTTCTAGTGCTATTATAACGGAACTTGGGGTCAGCTATTTAGGGACACGCCAACAGGAATCAGATGCATTCTGTCTGGAGGTGGGCTATGGGGGACTGAGGGAGGGAGAAACCGCCTTCTCTGGGCACGTGCTCCTCAGCCTTGGGACACCTATTCACCTTCTCCATTTGTTTGGGGACCAGAAGCCACTCAAGTCTTCAAGGAAGAGATAAACATGGGCCCTGTGTGGCCACCCCCTCCCTGCGTGCCCTCTGATGGTGAAAATGTTTCTCTGAATAGATGTGGTCCTGGCTCTCCTGGCTGAAGGTCTCCGGTGGAGACGTTAAATGGGCAAGGCACAATTCTGAGGAGGACTGGCCTGAACCCCCGTCTTGCCCAGTGAGATGCCCCCAGGTGTTCAAGGATTCATGGTGGGACTGGGCCCCTCCTCCTGACGGAGCAAAGCTCTTGGTGAATTACACAGGACTGGACTAAACCTACTGACACAGGAACTTGCCATTTAGTTTAATTCAACCCTTGCTTGGAAACAGGAGCTCTTGCCATAGCAACGGTGGAATCACAAGATTCCCTGCCCACTCCACACGCGCAGCACAGTTACCAGAGCCAAATTGTGGTAGGAGAGAAAGAGAATTTCAACAGGAAAATAAAACATCAGTTCTGATTCTGCCAGCTAGCTTTAAGATTAATAAGGTATTTAAGATTTTCCCATGTACAGGCCTCAACATTCTTCCTGCACAGTGGAGGCATCTTCCAAAGCACCTATAGCTCCAAGCTCTGATCATTTGAAAGCATCAAAACAGGGCCAGGAGCTGTGGCTCACACATGTAATCCCAGCACCTTGGAAGGTCGAGGCAAGTGGATCACCTGAAGGTCAGGAGTTCGAGATCAGCCTGGACAACATGGTGAAACCCTGTCTCTACTAAAAATACAAAAAAAATTAGCCTGGCATGGTGGCACGCACCTGTAGTCCCAGATGCTCAGGAGGCTAAGGCTAGAGAATCACTTGAACCCAGGAGGCAAAGGTTGCAGTGAGCTAAGATCACGCCACTGCACTCCAGCCTGGGCAACAGAGCGAGACTCCGTCTGAAAAAAAAAAAAGAAAAGAAAGCATCAAAACAGTATTGGGGACCTGGCACCGGTGGCTCACACCTGTAATCCCAGCACTTTGGGAGGCCAACTCGGGTGGATCACCTGAGGTCAGGAGTTTGAGACCAGCCTGGCCAACATGGTGAAACCCTGTCTCTACTGAAAATACAAAAATTAGCCAGGCATGGTGGTGCACTCCTGTAATCCCAGCTACTCAGGAGGCTGACAGAGAAGAATCGTTTGAACCCAGGAGGCGGAAGTTTCAGTGAGCCAAGATCCCGCCACTGCACTCTGGCCTGGGCGACAGAATGAGACTCCATCTCAAAAAACAAAACAAAACAAAAACCAGTATTGGGCTCTTCCTGTTAAATCTGAGATTCTCTGAAGCTAACCAAATGAACCAAGCATTTACATAATGTTTGCTGCGTGCTGGATGCCCTTTTAAGAAGTCTGCATATATTCACAATCCATCTATTCCCCCAACAGCCTTATGAGATAGGTGTGATCATTATCTCCATTTTACAAATGAGGAAACTGAGGCATGATGAGGTAAACAAACTTGCCCAGGAGTTTGCATTTAAATAAAGGATTCAAACCTAGTACATCTCCATATTCTATTCACCAAAAAGGAAAGTACATCTTTGAAAATTAAAAACAAGTAAAACCTGCCAGGCATGGTGGCTCACGCCTGTAATCCCAGCACTTTGGGAGGCCAAGGCATGGGGATCGCTTGAGGTCTGGAATTTGAGATCAGCCTGGCCAACATGGTGAAACCTCATCTCTACGAAAATGCCAAAATTAGCCGGACATGGTGGCACGTGCCTGTAATCCCAGCTTTTTGGGAGGCTGAGGCAAGAGAATCACTTGAACCTGGGAGGCAGATATTGCAGTGGGCTGAGATCACACCCCTGCACTCCAGCCTGGACAACAGAGCCAGACTCTGTCTCAAAAATAAAAATAAAAATAAAAAAATTAATTAATTAAAAAAAAATAAAAACAAGCAAAACCAAGAGTGACACCCTATGAAAAACCACCGAGTACACTGCAAACTACGCAGGTGGGTGGACAAAGCCCTGAATGGGCATGGAGGTTTGCAGACATGAGGCGCCCTGCAGAGGTCTGCAGAAAAGACAGCACATTGCTGGGAATGGCAAGATCTGGGGGCAAAAAGTGCAGAAGAAATAGCATACAAAAAACAATCTCTGCAAATAACCGAAATAAAATATTAGCAAATCTAATTCTAAAACATATTAAAATAATAATAAATCATGGCCAAATAGAATTTATCCCACAGGAATGCAAGGAAAATTCAAATTAAGAATCTATTAACACAATTCACTATATTAATAAGTCAAAGAAGAAAAAACCACATAATTGTCTGCATACAGCTAAAATGGCACTTTAAAAATTCAGAATTCCTGATTAAAATTTTAAAACACTTAATAACAATAAGTGCATATTATGATACAAAGCATATCTTAAACCAAAAATAAGTATTAAACTTGATATCAAAACATCAGACATATTTTCATTATGTCTCTGCCATTATTAAATGTCAATTTAAGGCAAGAGAAAACCCGAAGAGATGAAAAATTATACTAAGGAAGGCAAAATTGAAAGATGGCACCTCCATGTGCTTGGGAAATCCAGATACAACTGAAATGCCTTAAAAACAATAAGGTTGCTGGCAAGAAACTACATACTGCACAGAACTTCTTTTCTATATATAAAGTTTGAAGGAAGAAAAAAAAGGAAGAAAGGATTATCTTTACAATGGCAACAGCAACAACATATGTGAAAAGTTACAAGCCATGCAGACTTGTATGGAAAAAACATTAAAACTCCAGCAAGTGGGCCAGGCATGGTGGCTTACGCCTGTAATCCCAATATTTTGGGAGGCCAAGGCAGGAGGACCATTTGAGACCAGGAGTACGAGACCAGCCTGGGCAACATGGCGAAACCCAGTCTCTACAAAAAAAATACAAAAAAATTATCCTGGTGTGGCGGTGCATGCCTGTATTCCCAGCTACTCAGGAGGCTGAAGTGGAAATATCGCTTGAGCCTGAGAGGTTGAGGCTGCAGTGAGCCATGATTGTGCCACTGTACTCCAGCCTGGGTGAGAGTGAGGCGTTGTCCAAGAAAAAAAAAAATTCATCAAGAGATGTAAAACAAAATTTGAATAAAAGATATCTCAGATCTTCTTGCTGGATCAAAGCCTCCATAATGTAACCAAGTGGGTTCTCATCAAACCATATTATAAATGAACGTGAAATAAATGTGGATTCATGTAAAAACAACAGGATTCTCTTCTGAACTACATACTGACATTTAGCTTATTGCAGAAAAACTAAACATGTGAGAATACCCAAGGAAGTTCTGCAAAAGAAGAGAAAACAGGGAAGATTTGCTCTACCAGATGATAAAACATTATAATGATACAGAAAATCAAATAGCTTGATAGGACAAACAGATTGACGGACTACTTGGAAAGACCAGAAAGAGGCCCAAGTATAAACATAAATATGGAAAGATAATGCCAGATGCAGGTGACTCTTAGAGTTTGAGGTTGTGGCCCTCAGTGCTGATCCCCTGGGGGGCCCAGTGTCCCCTCAGTCTTTTCAGTGGCACCAAGCCTGCCTCTCACCCTCCCCAGTGCGGAGCTGGGTCCATGGCTGTCTGGCCAGGGACGACACCCCCGGGCTCTCTCTACTCAAGTACAGCCATGTGACCAAGTCTTGGCCAGAGAGAGGAAAGCTGAAGTTCTCAGTGTGGATCCCCCTGTGCCATCCCATTCAGTAGCCACTAGCCACATGTGGGCATTTAAATTTAAATTTAAATTAATTAAAATAAGACATTGTTAAAGATGCAGTTAGTTGCACTAGCCATATTTCTTGTGCTCAGATAGTTGCATGTGCCTGTGGCTGCAGTGCTGGGCTATAGGGAATTCTGTGTACTTGATCATCTCTAACTTAAAAGCAAGTAACTTCCCCTGGGTATCCCCTAGCCCAGCGTGGCTCCACCCACGGTAGTAACCATCTGTGGTCACACAGTAAGAACACAACCTTAGGGGTAGGGTTGGGACTGGGTGAGGCAAGTCACGTACCTAGGTTGCAAAATTTAAGGAGGGACTGGCACCCAGCATCACCCAAGTGAGGGCCCCCCTGAATTCTGAGCATCAGTACCTCCTTCAACTCAGGCTGGTCTTGGTCCTGCTGTAGGGAGTGGAGAGCAACCCGATGCAGAGAGCCTAGGGGTTGGCCTGGAGTCTGGGCTGCTCCCCACACAGAGAAGAAAGGCCCAAGTACTTAAGTCACAGCTCCAGGCCCTTGTGGTATAAGTGAGAGATTAGTGCCTTACATATTAGTGTCTTATTTTATTAGCGGGAGAAAGACAGATTATTCCCTAAGTCAGAATGGGACAACTGGCACACTGTTTAGAAAAACAGAGATGAATCATTTTTTTACTCTTTCACCAATTCATCTTGAAGTTAATTGTAGTCCAACAAAAGTCCTGGTTGGCATATATACAAGGATATTTATTGAAGTAAAAGTTAAAGACTGGCATCAATTCTATCAACCAAGGACTGTAGAGAATAAATTATAGTATACCCACTTTAACATGCTGCATAGACATTAAAAAGAATTCAAGCCCAGGCGCGGTGGCTCACGCCTGTAATCCCAGCACTTTGGGAGGCTGAGGCGGGCAAATCACGAAGTCAAGAGTTGGAGACAAGGCTGGCCAACATGGTGAAACCCTGTCTGTACTAAAAATACAAAAATTAGCTGGGGATGGTGGCAGGCACCTGTAATCCCAGCTACTCAGGAGGTTGAGGCCGGAGAATGGATTGAACCTGGGAGGCAGAGGTTGCAGTGAACCTAGGTTACGTCATTGCACTCCAGCCTGGGCAACAGAGCAAGACTCCCCCAGAGAAAAAAAAGAATTCAATAAGTCAGGAAATAGTTATAGAGAATCTACTATGTACCAGTTCTATCAACCAGGCAGATGGAATTTCTGCTCTCAAAGAAGTCACAGTCTGTCTGTGGAGAAAGAAAACATATTAGATGATAGATAGATAGATAGATAGATAGATAGATAGATAGATAGATAGATGATAGATAATAGAAAGATGATAGATTAGAAATGATAGAGCTAGATTAGATAGATAGATAGATAGATGATAGATAGATAATAGGCTAGATAGAAAGATAGATAATATACCATTTTCAATAGCATCAAAAGAAATAAAATACTTAGGAATAAACGTAACTAAAAAGATGAAAGACTTGAACACTGAAAACTACAAAACTTTGATGAAAGAAGTTCAGTAAGTGGTGTTGGGAAAACCAGAAAAGAATGAAACATGCAAAAGAATGAAATGTGTCCTTTGTCTACACCATACACAAAAATCAACTCAAAATGGATTAAAGATTTAAATATAAGACCTGAAACTGTAAAACTCCTAAAAGAAAACATAAGGGATCGGCCAGGCGCAGTGGCTCATGCCTGTAATCCCAGAACTTTCGGAGGCCGAGCTGGGTGGATCACCTGAGGTCAGGAGTTTGAGACCAGCCTGGTCAACATGGTGAAACCCTGTCTCTACTAAAAATATAAAAATTAGCCAGGTGTGGTGGTGCGTGCCTGCAGTCCCAGCTACTCAGGAGGCTGAGGCAGGAGAATTGCTTGAACGCGGAAGGCAGAGGTTGTCATGTTGTCATGAGCTGAGTTCATGCCACTGCACTCCAGCCTGAGTAACAGACCAAGACTCCATCTCAAAAAAAAAAAGAAAAGAAAACATAAGGGAAATCTTCATGACATTGGCCTTGGCAATGATTTAATGGATCTGGCACTAAAAGCACAGATAACTAAGGCAAAAATAGACAAGTGGGATTACATCAAACTAAAAAGCTTCAACACAGCAAAGAAAACAATCAACAGAGTGAAAAGGCAACCTATGCAATGGGAGAAAATATCTGTAAACTGTATATCTGATAAGAGGCTGATTTCCAAAGCATATAGGAATTCATAAAACTCAATAGAAAAAGCAAAACAAAAAATTAATAACTCAATTAAAAATGGGATTAGGACTTGAATAGGCACTTCTCCAAAAACATACAAATGGCAAACAGGTATATGAAAAGATTTTCAACATCACTAATTATCAGGGAAATGCAAATCAAAACCACAATGAGATATCACCTCACACTTGTTAGAATGGCTATTATTAACAACAACAAAAATACAAGTGTTGGCTGGGCACGGTGGCTCATGCCTGTAATCTCAGCACTTTGGGAGACCAAGGTGGGTGGATCACATGAGTTCAGAAGCTCAAGAACAGCCTGGCCAATGTGGTGAAACCCTCTCTCTACTAAAAATACAAAATTAGCCAGGTGTGGTGTCCCGCACCTGTAATCCCAGCTGCTCAGGAGGCTGAGACAGGAGAATCACTTGAATCTGGGAGGCAGAGGCTGCAGTGAGCCAAGATCATGCCACTGCACTCCAGCCTGGGCAAGACAGAGAAGGACTCTGTCTCAAAAATTTAAAAAAATTAAAATTAAAATACAAGTGTTAGAGAGGATGTGGAATAATTGGAACCCTTGTACCCAGTTGGTGGCAATGCAAAATGATGCAGCTGCTATGGAAAACAATATGGAACAATTCCTCAAAAAATTAAAAATAGAACTCTCATATGATCCAGCAATCCTACTTCTTGGTATTTATCCAAAAGAATTGAGATCAGGATCTCAGAAAGATATCTGCAGTCCCATGTCCCCTGCAGCATTATTCACAATAGCCAAGATGGAAACATAACCATCATGTCCATCGACAGATGAATGGATAAAACATGTGGTACACACATACAATGGAATGTTATCCAGCCTTACAAAAGAGGGAAATCTTGCCATTTGTGACAACACAAATGAACCTTGAGGATATCATGCTCAGTGGAATAAACCAGGTGCAGGAGGACAAATACTGCATGATTCCACTTACAGGAGGTGTCTAAAGTAGTCAAACTCACAGGAATAGAGTAGAATGGTGGTTGCCAGAGGCTGGGGGAGGAGAAAATGGGAGGTTGCTACTCAATGGATATGAAGTTTCATCTGTGCCACATGAATAAGTTCTAGAGATCTGCTCCAAGACATTGTGCCTGTAGTTGGCAATACTGTATTGTCAACTAGAAATCTGTTAAGAGAGATCTTATGTGAAGTCTTCTTACAAAAATAAAATCAAAATAAGAATCAAGAGATCTAAAGAAAAAGAAATATTAGTAAATGTATAATAGACAGATGGTTGACAGAGATAAAGATAGATGAGAAAGAGAAAGGTAAATAAAAGACAGATAATAGATTAGACAGATTAATAGATACAGCTGGGCACAGTGGCTCACGCCTGTAATCCCAGCACTTTGGGAGGCCGAGGCGAGTGGATCACCTGAGGTCGGGAGTTCAAGACCAGCCTGACCAACATGGAGAAACCCCGTCTCTACTAAAAATAAAAAATAAGCTGGGCATGGTGGCACATGCCTGTAATCCCAGCTACATCAGAGGCTGAGGTAGGAGAATCACTTGAACCCTGGAGGCGGAGGTTGCAGTGAGCTGAGATGGTGCCACTGCACTCCAGCCTGGGCGACAAGAGTGAAACTCCATCTCAAAAAATAAATAAATAAATATATAAATAGATAGATATGTACATACATTGTACATATATACATGATAGATAATAGATGACAGATAAATAGATGATAGCTATAAATAGACGATAGATAGATAGATAGATAGATAGATAGATAGATAGATAATAGATAGATAGATAGACAGATAGATAGATAGATAGATAGATAGACAACATCAGAGAAGGGCTTTTTTTTTTTTCAAATGGAGTTTCGCTCTTGTCCCCCAGGCTGGAGTGCAATGGTGCAATCTCAGCTCACTGCAACCTCTGCCTCCCAGGTTCAAGCGATTCTCCTGCCTCAGCCTCCTGAGTAGCTGGGATTACAGACACATGCCACCACGCCCAGCTAATTTTTTTATTTTTAGTAGAGACAGGGTTTCACCATGTTGGCCAGGCTGGTCTCAAACTCCTGACCTTAAGTGATCCACCCACTTTGGCCTCCCAAAGTGCTAGGATTACAGGTGTGAACCACCGCGCCCGGCCCAGAGAAGGGCTTTGATGAAACTCAAGCACGCTAGAAGTCAGGTGCCATTTTTGAATGGGAGGGTCAGGGAAGGGTCCTCTGAGGAGATATTTAGGCAGAGGTGTGAACAATTGGAAAGAGTGATGACTGCAAAGAGGTGGGGAAGGATGCTCCCGAGAGAACGCCTAGCCAGCCACAAGCTCTTGAGAGGAGAGGGTGGTGTGTCTGGAGGGGAGAAAGGGAGGTGCAGAGAAATAGGGGAGCAGCAGGGTGGTTGGGAGAGGACTGGACTTTAGTCTAAAGGCACTGAGAAGCAGCAACACCACATGATCCAATTTAAACCTCAGAAGGCTCATTTGAGTGGCTGTATGGGCAAAGCAATATAGGGAGTCTGGAGTGAGTACTGGGAATCCAGCGGAGAGCCCACTGTGACCACGCAAGTGAGAGGCTGAGGGGCGCAAGGAGGGTGGGAGTGGGCGGTTCGAGATAGATGCCTCCTAAAGCACCGGGTGTGGGACGTGAAGAACAGCAGGCACTGGAGATGACTCCACAGCTTTTGACCTGAGCTATGGGAAGTCAGGAGAAGAACTAATGTATGAATATAAAGTAATCAGCAACAGATGCTGCGACATGAGAAATTCAGGGTGCAGAAAAGTTAGAATAGAAAGTCGCCAAGTGCACACACGTGTGTGTGTACACACATATGTGTGAGCATGCATGTGCACGAGCATACATGTGTATTTCTGTTCATTGTGTCCATTACCACAAACAGGAATCAAGTCGGTCTATCTCTGTCTTCTGACCCCAGACCCCATATGTGGTAAGCCCTCAGTCTGTTTATTTTATTTTTATTTTTATTTTTGAGATGGAGTCTCGTTCTGTCACCAGGCTGGATTGCAGTGGCATGATCTCGGCTCACTGCAACCTCCACCTCCTGGGTTCAAGCGATTCTCCTGCCTCAGCCTCCCGAGTAGCTGGGACTACAGGTGTGTGCCACCACGCCCAGCTAATTTTTGTATTTTTAGTAGAAACAGGGTTTCACCATGTTGGCCAGGATGGTCTCGATCTCTTGACCTTGTGATCCACCTGCCTTGGCCTCCCGAAGTGTTGGGATTTTGTCAATAAGCAAAATTTCCTCTGCCTTCTGTCCTACTATTTGTATGTCTCTTAATGCCTCACTACAATTTTTTTTTTTTTGAGACAGAGTCTTGCCCTGTCACCCAGGCTGGAGTGCAGTGGCATAATCTCAGCTCACTGCAACCTCCACCCCCCGGGTTCAAGTGATTCTCCTACCTCAGCCTCCTAAGTAGCTGGTATTACGGGCCACGCCACCATGCCTGGCTAATTTTTGTATTTTTAGTAGAAATGGGGTTTCACCATGTTGGCCAGGCTGGTCCTGAACTCCTGACCTCAAGTGATCCACCCACCTCGGCCTCCCAAAGTGCTGGGATGAGCCACCGCTCCCAGTCTCCTTACTACAATTTAAATTGCTTTTCTTTCTTTCTTTTTTCATTTTTTATTTGAAAGTTAACAGAAATGAAGGGCCTGATGGATTTTCACGAAGTGAACACACCCATGTAACCAGCACCTAGATGGAGATGCAGAGCACCTCCAGCACTCCCAGCCGCCCCCAGCCGCACCCTTGGGTGCCCTTTGCATTTCTAACCACCCCTCCACCAAGAGTGAGCACTATCTGACTTTTAACAAACACAGATCAATTTTCTCTGCTTTTGTATTTTCTATCAATGGAAACATACAGTATGTACTCTGTGTGCCTGGCTCCTTTTCCTCCACATTAATTGTTGAGATTCATCTCTATTGTATGTAGTTGTAGGTTGTCCCTGTGTAGTATCATGTTGTGTAAATATACTACAAATGATTTACGCATTCTACTTCTGAGGGGTGATGGAGCTATTCCCAGTCAGCACCTGTTACAACTAGTGCTGCTATGCACATTCCTGGTCGTGTCTTTGGGTAACATAGGATCCGTTGGGATACACCTTGGAATTCCTAGATGTGCAATTTTTCGGCTTTAGGACAATCAGCCAAATTCAATTTCTCAAATGGCTGTATGAGTCTGCATCCCCACCAGCAGCACAGAGACTTCCAGTTATTCCACCTCTTCTCCTGAGCTTGGCTTTCCCACCTTTAGGATCAGAGTCCTTCTGGTGGGTGTGCACCAGTGTCATGTCATGGCTGGTGTGGTTGGTTTCTAATCCTCTGGGCAGAGGTTCTCGGCACATTGGGATTACTGTCCACACAAGGCTCCCCTCTTGTTATTGGTGCTTGCTTATTTATGCCCCTTTGTATCCCCACACCCCTACCTTTCCCCCTCCTCCAGCATTAGGAATTCACTCTAAGGCTTTTATTGTGTAGACTGGTTTGTGTGTGTCATTGTCCCATGTATTAGTCAGGGTTCTCCTAGAGGGACAGAACTAATTAGACAGATAGATGATAGGTAGATAGAAAGATAGATAGATAGATAGATAGTAGATGGTAGATAGATTGATCGATAGATTGATAGATAGATGATAGATAAAGAGGAGTTTATTAAGTATTAATTTACACAATCACAAGATTACACAATCACAAGATTCCACAATAGGCTGTCTGCAAGCTGAGAAGCAAGGAGAGCCAGTCCGGGTCCCTAAACTGAAGAACTTGGAGTCTGATGTTTGAGGGCAGGAAGAATCCAGCATGGGAGAAAGATGTAGGCTGGGAGGCTAGGCCCGTTCCATCTCTTCACGTTTTTCTGCCTGCTTTATATTCACTGGCAGCTGATTAGATGGTGTCCACCTGACTAAGGTGACTGCCTTCCCTAGCCCACTGACTCAAATGTTAATCTCCTTTGGCAACACCCTCACAGACACACCCAGGATCAATATTGCATCCTTCAATCCAATCAAGTCGACACTCAGTATTAACCATCACACCCCATGTGTGGGGTCTTCTTGTGTGTGTACATATATTTTTAATTGCATAAAGATAATGTTGCACACCTATCTCATGAATCATCTTGTGTTTTTCTTTCCTCCCCCAGCGCAGTGCTCTCAATATCCATCTCTGCTGCTGTGGGGTCAGATTCTGGGTCTCAGCCCAAGGCCACTCCTCTCTACACTGTGATGCTGGAAATGAGAACCTATAGTGACGTTCAACATTCCCAGGCTTGTTGTCTGCAGCTTCCTAAATTGTCTTTCTTTTTTTTAGAGACTGGGTCTTACTATGTTGCCCAGGCTAGACTTGGACTCAAACTCCTGAGCTCAAGCGATCTCCAACCTCAGCATCCACAATAGCAGGGATTTACAATGCACAGCACTGCACCTGGCCTGTGTCTTCTTTGCTCTTGAACCTGGCATAGCCAAGATACTTCTGCATGCTCTTCTCTCTGTTTGTCGCAGGTAGTGCAGTTTCCCTTTTCTAACTGATTCTGTTACGCTTCATAAACATCTAGTCCCCTGCACTCTAGATGCTGCATCCACCATGTGGATCTTTGCTTTGGTGGACACCCAGGCCCCTCCAATTCCAGAGATGCCCCGGCAATCCATTTTTCCGATGACAAGTGAGGTTTAGCATCTCCTTGTGGGGGTGTCAGCCTTTCCGTCTCTTTTCTGTGGCTTGCCAGTTTGTGTTTTTGTCTAGTACTGGGTAGGAGTTCCAACAAGCAGAAGGGCTGAGTGGGCAATGACAGGATCTCAGGGGAGAACCTCCCGCTGGCAGAAAGATGCATCCACATCCAGAGGTCCAGGAAGGGCTTTCTTGCAAAAGTGACCAGGCCTTTTTTCATCATCTTCACTGAGGCCAGAATTTACTGGGAATTGTTTGAACTGCTGCCTAAGGATGTGTATTAGGTTCCTGATGATAAAAGACAGGAATACTCTGCAATTATTCCCAGGGAAAACTACAGACCTCCTTCCATGAGCCCCACTAGATCCTGAGGCCACGCAGCAGGGCCAGGACAGGGCAGGCCATGAAGGTTAACCCGAAAAGGTTTTAGAAACCCTCCAGACACTCACATCCTGTGTTTACATATGTCCCACTTCAGCCAAACCTTTTACGTTCTCAGGACAGGCTGACTTCATAAAACCTGCCACTTGGTGGCTTTGCTCTGTATGAGAAGTGGAAATGGCCAGAAAGGGCACCGGCCGGTCCTGAAAGATGGACACACACACTCTTTCCACTGAGGCCATTTGTTTTGCAATTTCAGGGTAGAGGGACTTACTGGTCGTGATTGTTCTGAAGTGTGGGATTTAAACAAACTGGGCGAGTAGAATGAAGCTCTGACCACAGGCAGTGCATGGAGTGGGGATTCTGTGCTCAGAGTCTAGCTCAGGGACCTGCTGCAGTAGCTGGCCACCTAGGCCCTTGAATCCCCATTCAAGGGACAGGCCTACGGATGGCAGGGATGAGGTCGAGCAAGTGAACGTGCTTGGTAGCGAGGAAGCCCTTTGCAATTCGATTTGCTGTTGTTGCTGTTGGAGGGGCAAGTACCAGATGCTGGCTGGTCATGAAGGACAGATTCTTGTAGGGGGCAAAGCTCTGAGTCTCAGGGGACAAGCTCGTGTTGCAGCCTCCTCTCTGGGCTGTCATTAGAGCCCAGCATCATGGGTGCCTATAATAGCTTTCAGCCTCCAGAGAGCTGCTGCTATTCCTGGTGGCATTGATCATACTTGCCATGTAACCTGTAGTCCACGGGCCATGAGCAGGCCTCCTCCCGGGCCTGAGCACATGCCATCCCAACAGAGAAAAGGCACCAAGCTCCTTGTCCCCATCCCTCCAGAGGCCACCTGGAAGTGGAAGCAAACAAGAGAGCAGGCAGTCGTCCCTATGGGAAAGAGGTGGTCTGAGGGCTACCTGGACCCTCTGGCTCTTCTTTGTTGTCTGTGTCTCTTGGGAAACACAGAGGGTATCAGTTGCATGCAGAGACATCTATTTGCTCAGCATGGAGAGCTTAAGGGAGGTTGAGTGCTGGGTGCCATAAGGGGAAAGATGGGGACAGGGACCACATCAGTGCTGATGGACCTGCCACCTGGGATCAGAGGGGACTATCTCCACCTGCCATCTCTCCCCTTGAGACCTAAGCCCCTACAGGTAGAAGGAGGCTAAGAGACAGGAAAAACCAAGGTATTTCTCCTATTCTCACTACCACTCACCACTCACTTCTGACATTAGATGTGTGGGGGTTTTCCCTACACATCAACCAGTTCTCCAGTGGACACCAGCTGGGAGTCTTATAATTCGATTCCATTTTGACACAACCTGCCTATAGTTAGCAGGCAGGTTGGGATATGTAGGGTCATATCCCACAGGTTAAGGGATCAGTCCCACAAGACGGCCTCTTCTACTTCAGACACCAACCAAGCCCCAGGTTGTTTAACCTGTGCTTTTGACCCAGTGGCTATACATAGGGGTTCCCATGACCCTCTCCTTAAGTTTGTTTAATTTGCTACAGGAGCTCACAGAAATCAAGGAAACACTTCACTTACATCTATCCATTTATTATAAAATATATGAAAAAGGATACAGATTATGTAAGGATGTCTGAGGATGAAGAGATGCTTAGGGAGATGCATATGAGAGAAGGGGTATGGAGCTTCCATGCCCTCTCCGGGAACACCACCCTCCAGGAATCTCTACGTGTTCAGCTAGCCAGAAACTCCCCAAACTCTGCTCTTTTGGGGTTTCATGGAAGCTTTATTATGTAGGCATGACTGATGACATCATTGGCCATTGGTGGTCAACTCAATCTTCAGCCCCTCTTCCCTCCCAGGAGGTCCCATCGGAGCTGAAAGTTCCAACCCTCTGACCACATGGTTGGTTCCCCTGGGAACCAGCCCCATCCTGAGGCTATTCAGGGGCCCCCAACCAGCAGTCATTTCATTGACATACAAAAGACTCATCACTCTGGAGATTCCAAGTGTTTTATGAGCCATGTGCCAGGAAACAGATGAAGCCCAAATATATATTTCACAGTATCACAGAGGCACAATCCTATTCCCACTGAACACGTTCTCAGTGATGTCTGCTGAATGAAGCAAGGGCAGAAAAATTGTTGCAGGGGAAATTTCCTGGAAAGAGAGAGCAAAGGCCCCTCATTCCAACTGTATGCTCAAACAGGAGAGTGAAATAATCCCTCCTGGAAATTATGCTCTATCTAACCTGCAGATTCTTGAGTGACTGCAGGGATTCTGATGAGTGGCTGCTGGTTGGCTGGTTTTCTGGGCTTTGCCATTCTCCTCCTCTGGGTAGTGTGAGGTGGAAAGCACAATTGTAAACCAAGGTTGCCAGTCAGCGCTCATTTTTGGACAAAGGTCAGTTGTTCAGAAATTAGACTATTCCTGCCTCCTGTCTTAGCTGTTGGTGGCTCCACTCCACCTGAACACAGGGTATAGGGAAGTCATTTCAAGCCCAGTGATTCTGCAAATTGGAATGACTCTGACAGCAAAAGTTGTTTGTGCATATGTTTGTGCATTTGCTTAATTCACGTTTACCTTAAGAACGTGCTCACCCTGTGATCTCTGCAGAAATCCTGACTCTGGTGCAGGAGCCTCCACTAGGAAAATTTGGAAAATTTGATGCCCAGCATGAAAGGAAAGCCACCCAAGCCTGTGATTTCTCAGGTCTCTTTTAAAGCCAATGTCCCAACAGTATTGTCAACCTAAAATAATCAAAAGGTTCAGAATCTAGTTCAAAGAGAATTTATCCCAACAGTACAAAGTTGAGGACAGCCCACTTGGGAAGAATGTATTCCAAAGAATGGAAATCTGTGCTTCAAAGTGTAGTAGAAGTTTGGGATTGCTTGTATGAACAAAGCTTAGGGAAGCTTAACAGAATTTCAACATCTTTCTTTTTTTTTTTTTTTTTTTTTTTTGAGATGGAGTCTCACTCTGTCACCTAGGATGGAATGCAGTGGCATGATCTTGGCTCACTGCAACCTCCGCCTCCCGGGTTCAAGCGATTCTCCTGTCTCAGCCTCCTGAGTAGCTGGGACTACAGGGGTCTGCAACCACAACCAGCTAATTTTTTTTTGCATTTTTTAGTAGAGACGGGGTTTCACCGTGTTAGCCAGGATGGTCTCGACCTCCTGAGCTCATGATCCGCCTGCCTTGGCCTTCCAAAGTGCTGGGATTACAGGTGTGAGCCGCTTGCACCTGGCCTAACATCTTTCTATGGAAGGCTGAATGCATAATTACAACAATCTGATGAGCCAAAGTGTTGATAGCAGTAGAAGGCAGACAAATTCCTAGGCAGACAGGGGCAGGTCCCCAATGAAACCTGATCTTCAAGCCATAGACAGCCTGAAGCCTGAAAACCAGGCAGCCAGCTCCAGGTAGAGTCCATGACCTGAGTGAGAACTTCCTTGATGCTTTTATAGCCAGTCAAATGGTGCTTTTTCCAGGACTGCTTATGGACCAATCAGCACACACTCCCCCATTCTGAGCCCATGAAACCCCTGGACTCAGCTACATGTTGGGACTACCCACCTTCAGATATGGGTTACCCACTTCGGGTCCCCTCTCATGTCAAAAACTGTTCTGTCACTCAATAAAACTCTTCTCTGCCTTGCTGACTCTCCGCTTGTCCATGTAACCTCATTCTTCTTGGACAAGAACCCAAGACCCACCAAACAGTGGGTGAGAAAGGAGCTGTAACACTGTAGCCCTCCTGCCCTCTGCCATTGCCAGGTGGCCTCCCCATGTGACAGGAAGCAGCAGTGGGCAAACGAGCTGAAACATATTCCTGGCTGGCCCACCAAGTTGCAGGCGGTGATGCACTCCCATTCACCAGACTATGAGAGAAGAGCTGTGACCCTCTGGGGGCCGAGACCTCGGGACTCCCTGAGCCAGAGTTGTGACCCACTGTAACACCCGCTTGGGGCTCCAGGGTTGCTGTGTCTCCGAGTTTCTGGGAGCCACTGTGTTGCCCTCATCCAGATGCCAGCACCCAAGGTGGAAGCCATTCAAGGCACACCTGGTCCAGCTGCAGCCTTTCATGGAGCCCATGCCTGTGCTGGCACCTAGAGCTGCCCACCCAACCACAACAGCCGGCATGACTGGCTGTGCACTGTGGCCGGACCCTCTGCTCACTGGCTCACACACCTTTTGCCGCTCTGCACCTGGCTTGCCCACAGAAGGTGAAGGATCTGGGACAGTAGCAAGAACTGAGCGCAGCCCGCCAGGCTAAGTGGGAGGAGTGAGCCCAGTGCCAAGCCCAGAACCAAGCAAAGCCCGAGCAAAGGCACCACCGGACAGAGGTTTCCAGCTGGCAAAGCGGCACCGAAAGAATCGCCAGGGCTTTTTTCCTTTCAGGAAAAGTATATTTACATTCCACACTGAAGATATAACTGTCATTGAGATAGGAGTTTGCAAGGACTTGTTTCACAAGACACAGGTCACAAAGACCCTGCTGATGTGGCAGAGAAGCCAGTCCAAACCAGCTAGAACACAGACAGCTACAAAGGCAACCTCTGGTTGTCCTCATGGCTTATTATATGCTAATTATATAGTGCATCAGCATGCTAAAAGACACTCCCACTGGCGCCATGACAGTTAACAGATGCCATGGTAACTTCCAGAAGTTACCCTATATGGTCCAAAAAGAGGAGGAACCCCGGGTTTTGAGGATTCACCACCAGTTTCCAGAAAACTCATCAATAATCCACACTTTGTTTAGCATATGATCAAGCAACAACCATAAAAATAGCCAACCAGCAGCCCTGAGGGTTGCCTATGAAGTAATCGCCCTTTTATTCATTTACTTTCTTAATAAACTTGCTCTCACTCTCTCTGTCAGCTCACTCTTGAATTCTTTCCTGTGCAAAGCCAAAAAACCCATGTGGCCTCCTGGGCTAAGCCCCCGTTTCAGGGTTTACCCTGCAACATCATCAAGTCTTGTGTACCATCTGGTCTGAGTTAGGTACAGGACAATAAATGAGGCAGTCAATCTATAACCAAGATCAGTGATTGGAAGGTGGGTAGATCTGGTATCTGGTCTCTCCTAGTCAATTCTAGGACAAGAACAGTGAGTAAGAGAGTTAAGCTATAATAAGAAGCAGAATTGCAAACAACATGCTACGTGACTCAGTCTCCAGGCTTAAGTTCCCCCATGGTATAAAAATTTATAGGGCCCTGAAATTTTATTTTCTTTTACAATGTCCAGAGAGAGGTCGGAAAAAGAGGAGCCTCATTCAGGTGAGATATGTAAACGAGACGGTAACCTGCCAAAAACACTTGTTGCAATTAATATTTGTTGCTGCAATGTTGTTATATCCAGGGCTCTGCAATATAGAGAAATATTCCTAAATGATTTCCTTCAGTGCAGACATATAATTCTTGGTTCAACTCCAGCAGATGGTTATTATCAACATAAAGAAATAAATCATTCCCTGCCAAAGGCACCAGATTTCCTCTCCAGGAAGTGGTCATTGAGGTCTTCTTTAAAGGGCCTGTCTGGGTGCGGTGGCTCATGTCTGTAATCCCAGCACTTTGGGAGGCCAAGGTGGGCAGATCACTTGAGGTCAGGAGTTTGAGACCAGCCTGGCCAACATGGTGAAACCCCATCTCTACTAAAAAGACAAAAATTAGCTGCTGTGGTGGTGCACGCCTATAATCCCAGCTACTCAGGAGGCTGAGGTAGGAGAATCACTTGAACGTGGGAGGTGGAGGTTGCAGTGAGCCAAGATCTCACCACTTCACTCCCGCCTGGGTGACAAAGGGAGACTCCATCTCAAAAACATAATAATAAAAATAAATAAAGGGCCATGGTGTCAGAATGGGGCAGTGGTCCTTACAGGTTCCTCCAGCCCCACTCTATCTTCTCCCTCTGAGCTTTATCCCTGCCTGAGGCCCTGACTCCACCACCTCATCATATACCATTATAACGATGAGTTTCATGTCAGCCCAGGCCTGGAGAGAGAAGAACCAAACGCCTGTTGAATGAATGAATGGATGAATTAATTAATTGATATCTAAAACCTTGTACTAATACAATACATTTACCTGAAGATGATTATTTGTAACAAAATCATGACAACACATACATAAGGAAAGAGGAATAAAGATCATTACTTTTCTGTTTCAGAAAGTGAAAATAGAAAAGCAAAAAGAACATAGGAATGAAAAGTGATGTCTCTTATGCCTTATCACTGCAAATGTTTACCCAAAAAAACCATAAGGCTTTAATCTTGAGGATTTATTCCAGGTAAATATATCTGGAATAATATCAGATCTTTTACATGAAGTATAAAGGAGATATGATTTCTTATGTCCCTAGCCAGCCCTCTCTCTGTCACTCCACAGCTAGATAAGAAAAATGTTCTTCTTACCCTGTTGGACTCTCCACCTCCCTGACCCGCTAGAAAGAGCCTCTGGGTTAGACCCAGCTGCTGATGTAGCACCAGGAGAAAAAAATAAAGCGATGCAGATTCAACCAGACATGCTGCAACACGCTATGTAGCAAGGAGTTCAGAGACAAGGAGAAGGAGGGTGGGGAGCAGAGCCACATGGGCTGGGCCTCAAAAGGAGTGATGGAAGACTCTGGAGGGCTATTTGGGGAGGAGAAGCATGGGTTTTTTGTTGTTGTTGTTGTTGTTGTTTGGGCTTTTTTGAGACAGAATTTCACTCTTGTCACCCAGGCTGGAGTGCAATGGCACAATCTCAGCTCACTGCAACCTCCGCTTCCCGGGTTCAATCAATTCTCCTGCCTCAGCCTCCTGAGTAGCTGGGATTACAGGCGCACATCACCAAGCCGGGCTAGCAAAGGAGGTTTTAGATGAGTAGCCTTGGGTTGTGAAGTGGATCTCCTCAATTATTTTTCAAATGATGCAAGTAACAATTGGAGTTTGCTTTTTGCAATTATTACGGCATTCACTGAAGGCAAGACTGGGTCCCATGGGACATTAGATTATAGATGGGTTTTTCATGTGGAGTGGAAGGATATCATCCAGGATTTCAGATCTAAGATTCCTAGCTAGCTGCCCCTAGTTTAAAATCATCCTTTTAGGTCTTAGTCGTGGGCAATTTTTCCACCACTTCCTACCTCTGGTGTAAAGTGGTCAGATTCAACTGGGCACAATTGTTCTCATTCTCATACTCCAATGGCAAAGTCAGACAGATATTGTGGAAATAACTTTGAACTTGTCATTACAACTGTAGAGGTATTATAAAGGTTAAGAATGCATGTTTCACCGGGCGCGGTGGCTCATGCCTGTAATCCCAGCACTTTGGGAGGCTGAGGTGGGCGGATCACGAGGTCAGGAGATTGAGACCATCCTGGCTAACACGGTGAAATCCCGTCTCTACTAAAAATACAAAAATTAGCTGGGCGTGGTGGTGGGCACCTGTAGTCCCAGCTACTCGGGAGGCTGAGGCAGGAGAATGGCGTGAACTCAGGAGGCAGAGTTTGCAGTGAGTGGAGATCGCCATTGCACTCCAGCCTGGGTGACAGAGCGAGACTCCATCTCAAAAAAAAAAAAAAAAACATGCATGTTTAAAGCAGAAAACTAGATTCACATGGCATTTTGTCAGTTCACTAAATTAAGTAAAATTTTAAAAGGAGTCTTCCTTGTAAAATTACAAACATAAAATTAACTTTTCTCAACAATCAGGCAAATAGGCAGTTTAAACACATGCATGCAATTTCACTCCCTAATAGAGCCATTGAAATGACAGCAAAGGGATTTGTTTTTTTAATGATGGGGAAAACAAAAGAGTAAACAAAACAAAAACATGTTTGGAAGCTGTAAAAGCGGAAGGGGAGTGGAGGCTGACTCCACAGACACACAAGCGTGATCTGGGCCAGAGCTGGAAAATGTGAGAACCAACTGGTTTATCCCAAGTAATCCTCAAATGACTGGGAGCCAGTGGCTCCAGAAGCCCCCTTGAAGTAGTAATACAGGCACCTATAAGGAAGAGTGTGATGTGTTTACAAAGTGGTTTGATCTCCAGGCTCCCTCCCACCTCCACATGCTGAGTGATTGAACTTACCACCCCTGAGGTGACAAATGGGCTCTCTTGGTTGAGAAATACGTGGCTGAAAGTAAGAGTGCCAAAATGAAATCAGGGTAATTTCATGAAAAGGTATGATCCTACCCAGCTCCCAGAACACTGAGCCTTTCATCCCTCCTCCTGATAGGAGATAAGAGGATGCTTTCTGGTAAATGTGACAAGCCAGAAAGAGCAATCTTGCTAACAGAATGGCCCCAGCAGGATCACTCTATAGGGGAGCTCAGCGTTAACAAGCCCCACTGATGTTCTGCTAAGTCCCTCCCAAAATAAACAGGAGAGAGAAGCAACAGGGGAAGGGGAAGGGGAAGCCACTTGGGGTGAACAGAAACTGTGCAGAAAGAAGACATTTTAAAAATATGGTTAATATCCTTAGAGAGGTATGAGGAGATACTGCTTTCATGGAACTAGAACAGAATGCCATGAAAGAGAGATAGGAAGGGAAAGGAGGGAGAGAAGAGAGACAGAGAGAAACTGACTCAGACAACAAAGAACTCTTTATATGTATTAAAATCATGATAGCAGATAAAGGGCTAGAAGATAAATTTGAGGAAATCTCTCAAAAAGTAGAACAAAAATAAAAAGAGATGGCAGATAGAAGAGAAAAATATAAGGATGTTAGAGGTCCAATCTAGAAAGTCCAACATTCAAAAACTAGGAAATGCCGAAAGACAAAGCCAACCAAACAGAAGACAGAAAATTAAGAAAAATAACTCTGAGACATTTCCCAGAAGAAAACGAGTGTGTTTCCAGACTGAACAGCTCCCAAGAGCCAACAGGCCCTACGGTGAAAACAGAGGCTTGCTAAGGCATCATGAAAGTATAGAACAACAGGCAAGGAGAATATCTGACAAGTTCTGAGAGAGAATAGACCACGCTTGAGATGCAGCAGGGACCCCTCTTGGAGGCCTGCCACCCCCGACAAGCATGGAAATAAAGGAACATCTTGAGTTTCTTTAAGGGAAATTCCAGGCACCTACCCAGCCTTGAGAAGTAAATAAGCAACCTAGAAAACAAGAAGGTGACGAGAGCCTCACACAATAGCCAAGGAAGTCTGAGCCACAGAATGTTCGGTTCCCTACAGAAACTAAAGATTACACCTTAACAATATTCTTGAGTTGCTTTTCAGAAACCTGGACCATACCAAATGGAAAATGTCATCTACTGGCACATAGACCTCAGAGAAGAGAGAATTGAGGACTGAACTGTGACCACTGTTCTCTATTCCAAATTTCTTCCTACTAAGGGTCCTGGAGGAAGTCACACCCACAGGCCAGAGCTCAAGATTCCTTTCTGCTGACCCCAAGTTTTTAGACAAAGCTTAACCAATAACAAGTCAGAAAATCTTTGAATCTACCTATGACCTATGAGCTTCCCTGCTTCAAGATGTCCCACCTTTTTAGGCCAAACCAATGTGTAGCTTCCATGTATTCATTTATTACTTTGCATGTAACCTCTGCCTCCCGCCTTTAAAAACCCTTACATGTAAGCCATTAAATTTGTGTCTTAAGCCTGAGCTGCCTGATTCTTGTTGGCACCTCACAATAAATGCCTCACTTTCTCTCACTGCCATCACCATGTTAGTGTTTAGCTTTGCTGTGCTGGGTGGGCAGACCCAGGTCCAGCTTGGTCACTGATGTAGTTTGGATGTGTGTCCCTTCCCAAATATCATGTTGAATTGTAACTCCCATTGTTGGAGGTGGGGCTTGGTGGGTGGTGATTGGATCATGGGGGTGGATTTCTCATGAATGGTTTAGTGCCATTCTCTTGGTATTGTCCTTGCAATAGTGACTGAGCTCTTGCAAGATCTGGTAGTTTAAAAGTGTGTGGCAGGCCGGGCACTGTGGCTCACGCCTGTAATCCCAGACCTTTGGGAGGCCGAGGTGGGCAGATTACCTGAGGTCAGGAGTTTGAGACCAAAATGGAGAAATCCCATCTCTACTAAAAATACAAAAAAATTGGCCAGGCGTGGTGGCCCATGCCTGTAATCGCAGCTACTCAGGAGGCTGAGGCAGGAGGATCACTTAAACCTGGGAGGCGGAGGTTGCAGTGATAGCACCACTATACTCCAGCCTGGGCAACGAGTGCAAAACTCCATCTAAAAAAACAAAAAAAGTGTGTGGCACCTTCCCCCTCCCTTTCTTGCTCCTGCTCTGGGCATGTAACATGCCTGCTCGCCTTTCACCTTCTGCCATGGTTGTAAGCTTCCTGAGGCCTCCCAAGAAGCTAAGCAAATGCCAGCATCATGCTTCCTGTAAAGCCTGCAGAACCATGAGCCAGTCTCAGGTATCTATAGCAATGCAAGAATGGCCTAATACAGTAACCACTCACAGGGCCAGGAGTCACAGTGTAGTTGGATCTCTCAACAATAACAAAGAAACAAAAAAAAGCTATGAGGTGGTGCCTTCAAATCACTGAAGGAAAGTACTTCCAACCTAAATTCTGCACCTGCCACTCATCCAGTGAGTACATATAGAATGGAGGCTTTTCAGACTCAGGAGGCTTCAAAGAGTTTGCCCCCTTTCACCTGTTCTTAGGAAACTATTAGAGGATGTATTCCAACAAAACAAGGGTGGAAACCAAGAAACAGAATGACAAGAAAGAGAAACTCAATGCAGGAGAGAGCCGTGGAGCAGCCCGGGGATCATTCCAAAGGGTGACATCGGGTTGACAGATGTACCAGGAACATAGCTCACCAGAACCTATGGAGATGTTGGGAGGCTTCAGCACAGGTTTCTTCAAGACGATAGAAGGGACAGACCAATGGATGTGTCTGCATATCTCGAGAGGAAACCTGGATAGCCAGTGGAGGGTTCAGGTTAGACTACTTATAGGCGCTGTCTTTGTC
The DNA here is from genome assembly GCF_000001405.40 of Homo sapiens. Classification (NCBI taxonomy): domain Eukaryota; kingdom Metazoa; phylum Chordata; class Mammalia; order Primates; family Hominidae; genus Homo; species Homo sapiens. The sequence continues at coordinate 29,646 of NW_025791787.1, read as the reverse complement.
TGTTCAGGCTGCTATCACAAAATACCACAGACGAGGCTGTGTATCATAATAGAAATGCATTGCTCACAGTTTTGGAGGCTGTAAGTCCAAGGTCAAAATGGCAGTAGCTTCTGTGTTTCCTAAGGGCCCACTTCTTGTTCACAGATGGCATCTGCTCACTGTGTCCTCATATATTAGAAGGGGTAAGGGTCTCTCCTAGGAGGACACTACTCCCATTTATGAGGGCTCCACCCCACCCTCCTGACCTAATCACCTCCCAAAGGCCCCACCTCCTAACACCACCATCACCTAGGGGTTAGGACTTCAACACATGGATTATACCGGACAGAAACATTCAGGTCATGGCAAGTACATAGAATAAAATACACACACAAAGCAAACAGCCAGATAAGATAATTCCTTTTTTTTTTTTTTTTTTTGAGACAGAGTCTTGCTCTGTTACCCAGGCTGGAGTGCAGTGGTGCCATCTCGGCTCACTGCAAGCTCCGCCTCCCAGGCTCAGCCTCCCACCTCAGCCTCCTGAGTAGCTGGGACTACAGATGCATGCCACCATGCCTGGCTATTTTTTTTTTGTATTTTTAGTAGAGACAGGGTTTCACCATTTTAGAGACAGGGTTTCACCATATTAGCCAGGATGGTCTCCATCTCCTGACCTCGTGATCCACACACCTTGGCCTCCAAAAGTGCTAGGATTACAGGCATGAGCTACAGCACCCAGCTTTTTTTTTTTTTTTTTTTTTTTTTTTTTTTTTTTTTTTTTTTGAGAAAAAGTCTTCCTCTTGTTGCCCAGGCTGGAGTGCAATAGTGTGATCTTGGCACACTGCAACCTCCACCTCCTGGGTTCAAGCAATTCTCCTGCCTCAGCCTCCTGAGTAGCTGGGATTACAGGCACCTGCCACCACGCCCAGCTAATTTTTGTATTTTTAGTAGAGACGGGGTTTCACCATGTTGTCCAGGCTGGTCTTGAACTCCTGACCTCAGGCAATCCACCCACCTCGGCCTCCCAAAGTGCTGGGATTACAGGCGTGAGCCACCACACCTGACTCATCAGATAAGATCATTCTTTTTTCTTTATTTTTTTTTTAAGATGGAGTTTCGCTCTTTGTTGCCCAGGCTGGAGTGCAGTGGTATGATCTCGGCTCACTGCAACCTCTGCCTCCTGGGTTCAGCGATTCTGCTGCCTCAGCCTCCCGGGTAGCTGGAATTACAGGTGCCCGCCACCATGCCTGGCTAATTTCTGTATTTTTAGTAGAGACAGGGTTTCACCACATTGGCCAGGCTGGTCTTGAACTTCTGACCTTAGGTAATCCACCCACCTCGGCCTCCGGAAGTGCTGGGATTATAGGCATGAGCCACCATGCCCAGCCCAGATAATTCTTAAACAAAAATGCAGGAGAGAAGGGTAATTCAGTTTACCAAATGGCTCAAAGATTCTAGATAGCTGGCAAAGTGGAGATGACTAAAACAGAGGCTCTTTTCAATCAAAATTAGCATAGGACACCCTACTGAAAGGATGGGGTTTTAAGGTACCTCCATGGTGTTTGTAAATTCGGCCTAAGTCAGTCCAGCCCAATAGAGCATAATTCTCCTGACTGGTGAGCTCTGTGTCACCCCTCTTCTTCCTTTCTCTAGGAATGTCTGTGTCTGTGTGTGTGTTTGTGGTGTGTGTAGGTTATATGTGTGGTGTATACGTGTGTTCTCTCAGTGACTGCCCCTCTCCAGTGCACAGTGACCAGCATTTCATGAGTCTCCCTGAGGTCTGCACGCGCTCCTGCAGGAATGCCAGTGGCTAGGCCTCTCCTGGGAGAGGGGAGGGCCCCCACCTGCCCCAGGCCTGATGGCTTGTGGAGCACCCTGGGCTTTGATAAAGATGCCCCAGTTGTGGGCTGAAATCAGTGAAATGACTTCAACAAATTCAGTGGACAAGACACCTTTGCAGAGCCATGCTTCTCAGATGTTAGCGCCCACGGGGCTCACCAGGGAGTCTGGATGAGACGTGGGCCTGGGCTGGGTCACGATGCTGCATGTCTTTCAACCCCTGCCCCATGGTGCCCACATCACACTGCCACTGCTTGTCTATGTCCACACGCAGGGTGGCAAGTGTATAAAGATGAAAAGCAATGTGTACACACGGAAAAAATAAAAAGGTGGTGACTTTAGGGGACATATAGATGGACTAAAACATCCATCATGGCTTTCCCTCAGGATGATGGAATCTTTTTCCTGATGTTCGTCCACAGTGAGCACGTATTGCTTCTGGAACACAAGGGGCACAAGGCACTTGTAGAAATAGTCACAAATTACACAGTTCTCGGAAAGAAGGCTGGAATACTTTGCCTTACGTCAAGAAAAATTGTTTGGGATGTTATAATATTAAAGTATGTGTCGGCCAAGCGTGGTGGCTCATGACTGTAATCACAGCACTCTGGGAGGCCGAAGCGGGTGGATCACTTGAGGTCAGGAGTTCGAGACCAGCCTGGCCAACATGAAGAAACCCCATTTCAACTAAAAATACAAAATTAGCCGGGCTTGGTGGCAGGCGCCTCTAATCCCAGCTACTCGGGAGGCTGAGGCAACAGAATCGCTTGAACCCAGGAGGCAGAGATTGCAGTGAGCCAAGATGGTGCCGCTGCACTCCAGCATGGGAGACAGAGACTCTGTCTCAGAAAAAAAAAAAAAAAAAAAAAGAATGTGTCTTCAGGGAGTAATAATGGTTCAAAGGACACATCACTCTCCCAGCCCTAGGTGACGAAGGCCCATGTCCTACAGGGCCAGCCCAGCCGAGGTGGACCCTGCCTCTCCCTCTAGTCACCCCAAAGCAAAATCTTCCAGCCCACAAACACCAACACAGTTCTTGGCAGTTACAAGCACGTTTACCAGGAGGGCCGTTTCTCTACCTTTTAAAAGTGTGTGGTTGTGGTTCTCACACACACACACACACACACACACACACGAACACTCAGTTTATGGATACTCTACATGCAAGAGATGTCCACCCAGTTCCCAAGAATGTGTGATTAAAAATATCATAATTAGGCCGGGCACGGTGGCTCATGCCTGTAATCCCAGCACTTTGGGAGGCCGAGGCGGGTGGATCACCTGAGGTAAGGAGTTCGAGACCAGCCTGACCAATATGATGAAACCCTGTCTCTACTAAAAATACAAAAATTCGCTGGGCGTGGTGGCGGGCGCCTGTAATCCCAGCTACTCGGGAGGCTGAGACAAGAGAATCACTTGAACCCAGGAGGCGGAGGTTGCAGTGAGCTGAGACCGCGCCATTGCACTCCAGGCTGGGCAACAAGAGTGAAACTCCATCTCAAAAAAAAAGAAAAGAAAAAGCCATAATTAAATAAATATTTCATCTCTGAGTTTTGGAAGAAAACTGCATTTCTACATGACTTATTTGGGGCACGAATAACAATGAGGTTAGTGTAAATGCATCCTTAGTCAACCCACAGGGCCCCCAGGAGGCTGGGTCTCAGTGGTCAGGGAAGTTAACTGACAGCGCAGAGGGTGAGGGAGATTGAAGGGACTAATTAATTAACAGCTTATGTCTCAGTGGCACAGGTTCACTGAGTATCACCCACTGGGCTTCCTTACTCTACTATTGCTGGTCCTACTGGTGTCAGCTTTGCTCCAAATTCTCAGCTGAGGAACCCAGCAAGCTGACCAGATCTGCAGGTGAGGACTTGGCTAGAGATGGGTATCGGTATTTTCACAATCCCAGCTGATTGGATAAGAATGAGGCTGGAAAGAAACAGGAAAGACCGCCAGCAAGAGGCCACAGGGGAAGCTGGGACAGTAATCTGAACCACTGACGGCTTTCACCACCATTAATAAAGATTGTTTACTTCGATGGATTATTAACTTTTAGGTAACACTGAGGTTTGATCTTGAAGATGTGAAAACACACCCTTGAAAATTTCATTGCTTTCTAGGATATTGTAATACTGTTACAAATAAGTGTAAAGAAAACAAAGAGAAGAAGAAAATTCCAAGATGACATATAATTAAAAACTAGCACCTGTGACAAATAAGACATATTTAAGCATGGTATTTGTCAAGAGACTCCTTTTCTTCCTACTGGCACCTGGAATGGAATGAGAAAGAAGGCAATAGACTTGTTTATTAAAGTACACAGCTTGCAAACTTTATTAAGATAGTTGTGAAAGCATACCATTAAAATAAACAGATCGCCAGAAAATGTTATCAATAAATATATTATTTTACCTGAAGAGACTTGTACAAATAAATGTCTTGCATAGATTTCCAACAGCTCAGTATGAACATATGAGGATCCTTCCTTAAGCACAGGTGGATAAAGGTATGCAAAGAATAACAAAAATAACTATAATACAAACAGCCTGCATGATCAAAATATGGAGTGTATTATTTCCTGAGCAATAGTTGCTTTTTGACCACAGCTTAGTGCTTCTGCTCTGAAATACAATGAAATCACACCAACAGAGGAAGGAACCCAACATGCTCCTCTTTGCCCCAGCGTCGGTGCTGGAGAAGCAGCACCTGTCCTGGCCCTCTGAGGTCCCTCCCACTTCAAACGGAGAAATTCTGGAAGATATCGGCCGCCTCCACCCAGTCCTGGAAGCAGGCCAACCCCCGTTCCCGGATCTGCTTCCGCCCTTTGTTGGTGATGACCTCCCCATTTTGTTTCACAATCACAAGCTTGGGGATGGCTGTGACGTTGTACCTCTTCCTCAGCTCACTGCAGGACAGAAGAGTGGTACCGAAGTTAGCACTCCCACATGCACATCTGAAGGGACACGCCCCCTCCCTCCAGCCTGAGGTACAGCCAACTTGGAGGAAGCCACCAGGTGCCCCACCCAGCCTGCTCCTGCTCTCCCTCCTGCTGGGGTGGGGGCTCCTTTCTTCTTGGTGCTACTATTTCTTTTTCTTTTTCTTTTTCTTTTTTGAGATGGAGTTTTGTTCTTGTCGCCCAGGCTAGAGTGCAATGGCGCGATCTCGGCTCACTGCAACCTCCACCTCCCACGTTCAAGCGATTCTCCTGCCTCAGCCTCCCAAGTAGCTGGGATTACAGGTATGTGCCACCACATCCAGCTAATTTTTTGTATTTTTAGTAGAGATGGGGTTTCACCATGTTGGCCAGACTGGCCTCGACCTCCGGGCCTCAAGTGATCTGCCCGCCTTGGCCTCCCAAAATGCTGGGATTACAGGCGTTAGCCACCACGCCCAGCCTTGGTGCTACCATTTCTAACCCAATTCCACACCAGAGAGCTGCCTGCAGCAGTGAACTCTCCGTATCTGTGCTACCCAATCCAGTAGCCACCAGCCACGTATGGCTGGGAGAGCTCAGAATGTGGCTAGTGTGCCTAAGGAACTGAAGTTTTCATTTTAATTAACTTTTAATTTAAATTTAAGTTGTCACAAGTGGCTAGTGGCTACCAGATTGGATAGTGCAGGTCTAAACCCACAAATAAACCCAGTAATTTTTTATGTCCTCTACATCTCAAGGGGTTGAAAAATATCAGGTACATATAATGGTAAAAGTTAAAATTCCAGCCAGGTGTGGTTGCTGACACCTGTAATCCCAGCACTTCAGGAGACTGAGGTGGGAAGATGGCTTAAGTCCAAGAGTTCAAGACCAGCCTGGGCAACATAGTGAGACCTTGTCTCTACAAAAGTTAAAAAATTAGCTAGGCGTGGTAGCATGCACCTATAGTCCCAGCTACTCGACAGGCTGAGGTGGGAGGATCGCTTGAGCCCAGGAGGTCGAGGCTGCAGTGAGCCGTGTTAGTGCCTCTACATTCCAGCCTGGGCGGCAGACCCCATTTCTAAGGAAAAAAAAAAAAAAAGTTAAAATTCCATGAGTTCTAAATACATCTAGAGCTTCACTTGACTTTCCACCCTACAAATTCAGTGATGCACCAATTGCCATTATCATGATGAGAGGTTTCTTAGCCTCATTTTACATCATTTACATTTACAGTATCTATAACCTGATGAGTGGTCTTTTTACAAAATTATTTGTATTCATTTAGGGAAACGAGCATCTGCCTTCTTGGTTTTGCAGTTCTCGTAATCTTCACTGGGATTACTCCCTCAAGACAGGGCAGCCGGGTGAAATCCCTTTCCTGTTTACCATGGCCAGGTCACCAGGGCCTCACAGTGACAGTAATCGGATTTCCTTGATCTGTCACCCTCAGGATTGTGAACCCGAGTGGAAGGAAAAACCCATTTGAGACCCTCCTATTAGCAAATCTCCCCTTTGACACGTCCCTCAAGTTCTTCCTGCCACTTTCTGGCATCCAGGTCAAAGACACACCATCACTCAAGCAGGAAAAAATACAGGGTCCCCTACGCTCAACAGAGAGAGAATATGGTTTATTTCCAAACATCTATGAAGCAGTGACAAAATCAATCATGTTCTCAAGTCACAAAGGAAGTATTAATGAATTTCAAGTGGTCAATAACATATAGATCACTTAATCAGACCAATGGTAATGGAATTGGAAACCAATAAGAAACCATTTTTGGGGCCGGGTGCGGGTGGCACATGCCTGTAATCCCAGCACTTTGGGAGGCTGAGGTGGGCAGATCATGAAGTCAGGAGTTTGAGACCAGCCTGGCCAGCACGGTGAAACCCTGTCTCTGCTAAAAATACAAAAAATTAGCCGGGCATGGTGGCACGCATTTGTGGTCCCAGCTACTTGGGAGGCTGAGGCCAGAGAATTGCTTGAATCCAGCAGGCGGAAGTTGCAGTGAGCCGAGATCGCGCCACTGCACTCCAGCCTGGGTGACAGAGTGAGACTCTGTCTCAAAAAATAAAAATAAAAAAATATATATTTTTTTGTTCGTTCGTTTGTTTTTTGTTTTTTGTTTTTTTGTTTTTTGAGATGGAGTCTTGCTCTGTCGCCCAGGCTGGAGTGCAGTGACGCAATCTCGGCTTACTGCAAGCTCCGCCTCCTGGGTTCATGCCATTCTCCTGCCTCAGCCTCCCGAGTAGCTGGGACTACAGGCGCCCACCACCATGCCTGGCTAATTTTTTTGTATTTTTTTAGTAGAGACGGGGTTTCACCATGTTAGCCAGGATGGTCTCGATCTCCTGACCTCGTGATCCGCCTACCTCGGCCTCCCAAAGTGCTGGGATTACAGGCATGAGCCACTGTGCTCAGCCAAAAAGAAATCATTTTTAAGAATGAGTTTTAAAACTAACTGTATGTTATATGGGAAATAGTAACGCAGATGACAAAGTATTTAAAACAAAACAATATGGAATATACTACAAATCCCAAGCTGTAAACACAATTAAACACACTTAGGAAGCTGTAGCCTTAAAAACGCTTATCCAAAACTTTAGTATATAGATGACTTATGGATCTAATTCAAGAAGCTAGAAAAATAAGGATGGCACAAACACAAAGAAAGTAGAAAGAAGGCAGAATAAGATTGAGAACAAAAATTACTGACATAGGAAATGAACCAACAAAAACCAACATGGGGTGACCAATAAAACCCAACCTGGTTCTCAGGAAACACTAAAATGTGAAACAAATCTCTACCGAGCCTGGGCACAGTGGCTCACGCCTGTAATCCCAGCACTTTGGGAGGTCAAGGTGAGAGGATCACTTGAGCCCAAGAGTTCAAGACATCCCTGGGTGACATGACAAGACCCTGTCTCCACAAAATAAAAAAAAATTAACCAGGTGTGGTTGCACGCACCTGTAGTCCCAGCTACTTGGGAGGCTGAGGCAGGAGGATTGCTTGAACCCAGGAGTTTGAGGTTGCAGGGAGCTGTGATCACACCACTGCACTCCAGCCTGGATGACGGTGCAAGACCCTAGCTCTAAAAAAAATGTCTACTGAGATTGAGCAAGGAAAAAGAGAGAATGCAGAAGAATATCAAAAATCAGGCCAGCCTGGTCATTACACAGGCCCAGTGTGGACTGAACCTCCTTGAGGGGACACTGGTGGGTGACATGACAAGACCCTATCTCCACAAAATAAAAAAAAATAACCAGGTGTGGCTGTGCACACCTGTAGGCTCAGCTACTTGGGAGGCTGAGGCATGAGGATCGCTTGAACCCAGGAGTTCAAGGTTGCAGGGAGCTGTGACCACACCACTGCACTCCAGCCTGGATGATGGTGCAAGACCCTAGCTCCAAAAAAAAAAAAAAAAAAAAAAAAAAATCTACTGAGATTGAGCAAGGAAAAAGAGAGAAGGCACAAGAATATCAAAAATGAGGCCAACCTGGTCATTACACAGGCCCAGTGTGGACTGAACCTCCTTGAGGGGACACTGTTGGGAGGGCTGTGGCCTTTCTGGGGCTGCATGACCCCTGCCAGGACAGGCCTATTCCCCAAAGAACCAATGGACACAGCCCCCACCCCGGCAGTCCGGACCTGCTCCCTGTGGTGTCCAATGACTCACCTGGGGAGGGAAAGGAAAAGTGGGAAAAAATAAAAATGTAAACTATTCTCTAAAACCTATCATGCACAGTGAAAAAAAGACACAGCAGAGACCACTCAGCCAAAACTGTATTTGCAGAACTGAGAAAGTCATGTCTCAAACACAGAGCAGATGTGAATTCATGTCAAACTGCAGGTTTAGGGGACACCAACTCCTTCACGAACAGCCATGAGTGCTCACAACAGGGGAGGCGCGTGTGGAACTCGGCCAGATGGAGCCTGGACAGGTCAATGAACCACAGCAGTCAGCATGAAAGATGTGGCAGAGATGTCCCTCTCTAGCATCTTAAGAATCCTGCACAACACCTATTTTTTTTTTTTTTTTAAGATGGAGTCTCGCTCTTTCGCCCAGACTGGAGTGCAGTGGTACAATCTCGGCTCACTGCAACCTCCGCCTCCCAGGTTCACGCCATTCTCCTGCCTCAGCCTCCAGAGTAGCGGGGACCACAGGCGCCCGCCACCATGCCTGGCTAATTTTTTGTATTTTTAGTAGAGACAGGGTTTCACCGTGTTAGCCAGGATGGTTTCGATCTCCTGACTTTGTGATCCACCCGCCTCGGCCTCCCAAAGTGCTGGGATTACAGGCGTGAGCCACCACGCCCGGCCGCACAACACCTAAAATTTAAAATGCCTAAGCAATTAGCTTTCCCCAAAGGCATAAAACAAAAATGTGTGGCCAGGTGCGGTGGCTCACGCCTGTAATCCTAGCAATTTGGGAGGCCAAGATGGGTGCATCACCTGAGGTCAGGAGTTCGAGACCTGTTCACATGGCGAAACCCTGTGTCTACTAAAAATACGAAAATTAGCCGGGTGTGGTGGTGGGTGTCTGTAATCCCAGCTACTTGGGAGGCTGAGGCAGGAGAATCACTTGAACCCAGGAGGCAGAGGTTGCAGTGAGCTGAGCCTGCGCCATTGCACTCTAGCCTGGGCAACAAGAGCGAAACTCCATCTCAGAAAATAAAAAAGAAAGAAAGAAAAAGGTGAAGAAACGAGAAACAACCAAGTAACTCTTTGCATAAAGACTGCAGCAAAATGGCCAGCAGCCTGATTTAAGCTCTTTATCCAGCAGTTTTGGCAAATGGGTTATTTTAGCATCTGTACTTTGGGCAGTGGGACAGGGCAGGGCTCGCACACGTCACTTCCAGAAAGGAAAGTAGACGGTCCGGCTGGGGCCAGACCAGGTGGGACTCTGTTATCTCAGGAACCTGGAACCTCTTCCCCAAGGCCATGAGGACTCCTTGGAGGGCTGCTGGTGGGTCGTGAAGGGGTTGGGATGCCAGCAGCAGCAGCAGCAGTATCTCACCTACAGATTCCTGAGCACCCCCAGGTCCGACAGCATCTGCACTCCTGACAGATTCCCAACTGACATGGGTCCATGCACCAGCCTTTGACCAGCACTGTCAGGAACAATATGGGGTCCCAGGAGCAGCAACACCAACATCACCTGGAAACTCATCAGAAATGCAATCTCCCCACCTCTGACGCTGGGGCAGTGCCCAAGATCTGGTGGTTTATGCTTGCTCAAGTTGGCCAATCCCACAGCAGTCTTCCAGGGCTTTCTGCATCCCCTGCACCAACTGGGAGGAGGTAGGAGACAGCAAGCGGAGAGGAGGCTGGGCATGGTGCCCCTGACAGCACGGGGAGTACAGGCCTGTGGTTTGCTGCTCAGCATCTGTGACCCTCCTTGGGAAACCATGTCTCCTTCATTTTCTGGCATGAACTAGCTGTGTGTCATGGGCAGGCTAGTTAACCTCCTGCACCTCGGATTCCTCATCTACACCACGGGAATAACAGAATCCACCTCCTGGAGTTGTTGTGAGGATTAAATAAACAGCTTAATGAAGAATGAGGCTTGGCACATAATAAGTACTTGATAAATGCTAGCTGTTCTTACTGTGTGGGAAAGACCCACCTCCAATTCCACCTGGGCCAACTGCTCAGTCAGCATATCTATCTGGTGGCCCCTGGCTACACTTAATAGTACAGAAATGGGGAACTAGCCAAATCAGAATCAATGAGGCGTGGTGCAGCACCTGGCTGTGTGCTGGGAAAGAGGAAAGTACAGGAATGCGCAGTCTGAGACACAGCAGCCATTCTGCCACCGTGAGGAGACACAGGATTTGCCAGGCAGCAACTGCCTGCAGCCTGAGCAAGGGGCAGACGTGGCAGAAGGCGAGCCACAAAGCTGCATCCTCCGTGGCCTCCAGCTTGCCCTTGACACCATCTTCTGGCTGATGGGTGTCTCATTAAAGCCAGCCCATAACCTTTACTGTTCAAGCTCTTTGAGTTGTTCTCATTGCTGCTGTTTTAATCACTTGCAACATTAAATCAAGCTCTAACACAGTCAGGGGGATGCAGAGCAGGCTGGGCTTTGAGGAATCAGGAGGGTGGAGGTGGTCATTTCACTGATATTCCAAGAGACACTCAGTACCAGCCCTCAAATCCCCATGCTGGCAGCCTCTGCCTGGGGACAAATGTAACCTTGGAGCTGCACATGAGAGGCAAAGAACCTCACTTTTTCCCTAATGTCATCTCAATCCCCTCTGGGCCCTGAGCTGTGTCCACAGAGAAAAGAACTTGCTTTTGGAGGAGAGAATGTTGTCATGGTAATAACTTAGGACTTTAAGCATTTGGGGAAAATCCAAGAGCCCAGTTCCTCCTTGTCCTCAGCACTGTTGCAACCAGCGTTGGTCCCTGCCTTCAACTAACACAGCCACATCCTTGTTGCTGGCATAAACCACACTTCTGGGTTGCCATGGCAACTCCTGACTCTAGTCTGTCATCTCAGCCAGGAGCAGGCTGTGGCCAAGCAAATCTCTCTGCAGAACTGTCTTTTGCTCACTTGCTTCAACTACTCACCAAACACACTCCCTGGGGATGCCAGGCACTGAACCATGTCTGGCTCTGTCCTGTGGGCAATGGAAACTCAGGAAACCCCCGGAGAGTTGGAGCAAGGCATGGCTAAACCGGATTGGTCTTTGAACCAAGAGCCAATCAGATGGGAACACCAAGGTCCTGTAGACGTAGGATAAGCAGAATTTAGGGCGTAGCTCCAACAATTCCCACAGAATATCCCACTACCTAGCTTACACATGACAACAACAGAGTTAAGGAAGTTCAGTGTGGAAAGGGGTAGGGACAAACAGCTAAGTTTACAAAAAGAAAAATCCCTCCCAGGCCAGCCAGGCTGAGAAGATAGGAGCACACAGCTGACCCACGTCACGCAGCTCACTGCCTCCAGCTGGAGCTCACAGGCTTGACCAGAGCATCAGAAACAGACGAGCAGTCTCCATGGCCCCAAGCGATGACCTCCCCAGTCCAATCTGTGTGCCGCTGGGGACCAAGACTCACCACCCCCTCAGTGAGGAAGTAGGGCACGGCAGAAAGAGGGTCCTCAGAGCCAGGAGAACTGAACTCTATGCCTCAATGGCACATCTGTAAAATGGGGCAATAGACTAGAGAGCTGGGACATAACCAGCGGACACATGAGCTCATATGTGATCAGCTCAACCCTGACAACAACCACGTGATGTATCATATGCTCAGCAATAAAATACCTTGCCTGCCATCACCTGGCAAGTAAATCCCAGAGCTGGGCCAGAGCTTTGTGCCTAATTACTATAATGATACTGCCATCGTCTCTCGCTTTCAAACCTGCGTTCTTTCAAAAGCTTACAAATAACTTGAGTACTAAACAAGTCCAATCCTGTTTTTAAAAGCACCACTTGAACTGATTCTGTAAGAAATCCTTTTGCAAAGTGAACCACCCATCTTGGAGATTCATTATCAATAGAACTTTCAGAGTCCCGGTGTGAGTGAGGCTCCCAGAAGCAGGTTACCCCCCTGGAAGGCTGGGCGGTGCCCTGCCTGGGCCTCCTCTTTCACTGGGAATCACCAAAAATCATGTTTGGGGGAATAATTAGATTTCTTCCCATTAATTACTCATCTACAAAACTTTCCAAAGTTAGCTTCCAGTTTTCATTTTCCAGAAGGAATGTCATCTCATGATAATCAGTTTAGGGGGTAATGCCACAACTTAATGATAATCTCCAGAAATGTGAGGCTGTAAAGCAAAACCCAGAAATTCACATTGGTACCTAGAAGGGGGTGGCCAGGACAACATACTTGACGAGGCCTGCTTTAAACCTAAGTCTGGACTCTTACACCATAGGAGACCACAGGAGACCCACCCCAAAAGCAGAACAATCAATCCCTGTAATCCCCTCTCTGCCAATCCCTACCCCCTCCTTTGCAACAGTTAGAGTAATAAAGTTTATAGTAATGAGTTTTATGCTTCTCTAGTGATGAAATTCCATCAGTGTCGGTAAAAATGAAACCGCAAAGGTGGCCAGCACCTGGGTTCCTGCCAGCCTTGAAGCCCCCGTCCCTCCCTCCCAGCAAACCAACCACGGCCTGCACTGTGGGTGCCTGTCACAGAGCTGATGTCCTCGCGGGTCATCCCTCATCCCCGCATCCAGACACCGGGTCATGTCCCTGTGCTTCCTGCCCACTAACTGGGAGGATGACGCAGCGGCGCCGGGAGTCCAGGGCTGATTGGGCCGGCGGTTCCCGGAGCCGAGCCCGCGAACTCACAGCATCACCACCACTGGGAGCTCCTTCGCAATGCAGATTCCCGGAGCTCCAGACCCCAGGCAGAAACGCGCCCGCGTCCATGCTCCACGAGCCCCCTTGGGGTGCCGATGCCCTGGGTTTTCGAATCTGGTCTGCACCCTCCCTGGTCTCCAAGAGAGGTTGAAACTGAGACTGAGTGTGATTTACCGGAGTCCGGACGTGAACCGAGAGACGGGGAGGTGTTGGGGGGGGGCGTCATAAAGAGCTCCCCAGTGCAGAGGGGGAGGCCTGGGGGAACATGGGGGAGACGTGCCGGGCGGCCCCCGCCCCCCCAGGACCCCCACTCACTGCCGGTAGGGGTCGTGGAAGGGCAGCGCCAGCCAGGCGCCATGCAGCTCGCGCATGAAGTCCAGCATCTCCTGGGAGCTGCCGTCGGCTGACACGAAGACCACTTCGAAGGGCGCGGGCCGCCGCGCCTCGGCCACCAGCGCCGTATAGAAGTCGCAGAGCAGCGGCGTGAAGTCGCGGCTCGGCGCGCACCGGGCCGCCGCGAAGTACAGTGCCACCACCTTGTTCTGCAGCGCCGCCTCGGCCTCCACCGTCGCGCCCTTACAGGTCACCAGGTGCCGCTCGCCCAGAATGTCAACCATGGCGCAGACACGCAGCCACCTGAGACCCGAGGACACCTGCAGGAGGATGATCACCTGCGGGGAGGCGGCGGCGAGCGCCGCGGTGCCCCGCCTCTGTCCGCACCACCGGGCGCTGGACCTCTCAAGACCTGCCCCAGATGCGCCCACACCTTGGCCAGGCCTCGCCTGTGGCTGGAGCAATTGTGTTCGCGCCGACAATGAGACACTCAGACACCAGAGACCCCAGATACCTGGGCGACAGCGCGGCACCCGCCTCTGGGAGCGGGGCCAGCCAGGCAACCTCAAGCCCTCAGGTCTCTGCACCCTCCCCCAACTGCGCCCCGCCCACACTCCTGCGCCCTCCCACCACTGCGCCCCGCCCACATTCCCCGCAAGCTCCCCAACTGCGCCCCGCCCACATTCCGCACTCTCCACCCACTGCGCCCCGCCCACATCCCGCACTCTCCACCCACTGCGCCCCGCCCACATCCCCGCCCCCGCCCCCACTGCGCCTCGCCCGCATCCCCACACTGTCCCCCACTGCGCTGGGCCCACATCCCTACACTCTCCACCCACTGCGCCCCGCCCACATCTCCGCACCCTCCCCCACCGCACCCCGCCCACATCCCCGCACTCTCCTCCAACTGCGCCTCGCCCACATTCCACAGTTTCCCCTCACTGCGCCCCGCCCACATCCCCGCACTCTTCTCCAACTGCGCCTCGCCCACATTCCACAGTTTCCCCTCACTGCGCCCCGCGCACACTCCCGCTCCCTCCCCCACTGCGCCCCGCCCACACTCCCGCGCCCTCCCCCTCACTGCGGCCCGCCGACATCCCGCGCCCCCGCCCCCATCCCGACTGCGCCCCGCCCACCTCCCGCGCCCTCTCCCACTGGTTGTCCAGCCCACATCCTGCACTCCCTCCACTGCGCCCCGCTCACACTCCCGCACCCTCCCCACACTGCGCCCTGCCCACACTCCTGCACTCTCTCCCCACTACGCCCCCTACCACATCCCGCGCCCCCGCCCCCATCCCCACTGCGCCCCGCCCACACTCCCGCGCCCTCGCGCCCCTGGGCTCTCCCGTCGTGGGCACTCTCCCCAGCGCTTCTACACTTTCTCCCGACGCAGCGCCCTGCCCTCCGTCCCGCCCCACCTATTGCCTCCTGCGCTTCCCCCACACCGTGCTCTTCCTCCTCCTTCACTTCCTCCCACTCCTCGCGCTCCCCTTCAGCGCCCCACGCAGCCCCTCCCCCAAAACCCCGCGTCGCTCTCCTTCCCTCCTGGCCTCTCTTCCAGTCTCGCGCTCCCTGCCGGGCCCCGCCGCAGGTGTCCCGCAGCCGTCTCCCCAGGGCATTTGAATCTTGCCTTGGAGCTCTTGCCGCGCGGCCCAGCACCCTGGAAGAGGCATCAGGGAGGATGGGACGACGAGGAAGGGGAAGGGTAATTGGGCTTGGAGCGGGCTTGGGCGGGGTGGTAGGGAACCTGAGCTCCGTTGGTTCAGGGTGTTTGCCCCTGACATCCTGTGGCCTGGCTGGGAGGGTTCGTGAAGTTCAGGAAGAAATTGGGAGCAGTCCTTACAGAATGTTTTATTTGAAGAACCAAGAGTATTAATTTTTTGGCGAGCACTGTTGTAGGCCCTGGGAATTCAGCAGTGAGAAAAATAATTTCAACTCCCTGCCAGACCCGGGCTAGAAGGAGGCAAGCGAGCGAGGCACTCGCATAGGGGCAAAATTTAAGGGCGCGACAAAAAAACTCAGTAGTCAAGGTAAATAATGTTTTAATACAATATCTTAAAAAGTCAAAATGAATGCAAAAAAAGTTTATAATGAACAAAATATCAAAAACTTAAAGACAGTGAATGAAACCAAAATATGCCATCCTAAAATATGCCGCTTTGGTATATTGATTATTTTGAGCGAGAGGCACTTGAAAAATAGCAAATGCAGAGAGACGTTCTCCCCTTACCTGTCTAAAGACGGAACCTCCAAAAGAAACTGATTGTCGTAAATTCCCTCCCGGGAGGATGGACTCTTATCACAGCAGAAGTCCACACCACACCTAGACAAACTTTGTCACAAACTCATAAAGACTTATGCATCTTTCCTAAAAATCAGTTACTCTCCCCTAAGTGGCCTACACCAGCTTCCAGTTCCCCAATTTTAGAAGCTCTCAAAGCTCACTGGTTTGGGGGGTTTTCACCTAGTTTCCTGCAATGCCCCCATGCAGGTGATATTAAAGATTAATAAATGTGTATTCCCGTTCCCCCCGTTCATCTGCCCGTTGGCAGTTAATTTCATAGAGCCAGCTATGGAACTGGGGAGGACAGAGAGAAGGTCTTTGCTCTCCTAAGACAAGATGGATCCCCCACTGACTTTGGACTCCCGTCACGTTCACCGACCCCTGAGTCCTGCTCCTGTGCCTGCCTGGAGCTTATGTTCTAACGGGCACAAACAATAAATAAGGAAGATATTTTGCAGGTGCTATGCCAAAAGAAGAGCCATGAGGAGGGGCGCAGGTTTTTGTTTTGTTTTATTTTGGTTTGGTTTGGTTGGTTGGTTGAGATGGAGTCTCGCTCTTGTTGCCCAGGCTGGAGTGCAATGGCGTGATCTCGGCTCACTGCAACCTCCGCCTCCCGGGTTCAAGCAATTCTCCCGCCTCAGCCTCCTGAGTAGCTGGGATTACTGGCGCGTGCCACCACGCCCAGCTAATTTTTGTATTTTTAGTAGAGACGGGGTTTCATCATGTTAGCCAGGCTGGTCTCAAACTCCTGACTTCAGGTGATCTACCCACCTCTGCCTCCCAAAGTGCTGGAATTACAGGCTTGAGCCACCGAGGGGCGCAGTTTTAATCTAGCGGTGAGAGGAGTCAGGGAAGGTGAAATTTGCGCTTCCTGAGGACCCGCCTGCCGGCCCGGGCTCCCCCAGTCTCGCCGTTAAATGAACGGAAATTGGCGGACGCCGTTGCCTGCAGGCACAGCCCGTCGGCTCGGTTGCGTAAATGTACTTAGCAGCCAAAGCTCAGTGGAAACCCTGCGGGAGGATTGATTGGCGCTCTTAGGTGAAGCAGGCTGTCAAGAGCCCCGATTCACTGTCCTCTGGGGAAAATGGATAGACAAATCGGAGGAAAAAATTGAGAGGAACTGTGAGCAGTATAAATCTTGCATGAGGAGGCCCCTGACTTACGTTAAAACTCAGAGGTAAGAGGAATGAAATGCAGCTAAGCTCTCAAAATCATCCAGACTATTTTGTTTTGTCATCTTATCCTTGAACACACAATGAGCCAAAGTAGACAGCATTCCTAATTAGTTGACGGTGCCACCCTCCCGAGAAAATTAACGGTCATTCGCATTAATACTGCCTGCCCTGGGGAACTCACCCAACCTCCATCCAGGAATGGATCGCACTTCCTGCTGCCGATGTCGGGGGCAGGGCGGCTTCCTAGGCATGCAGACCCTCAGAGGCACAGGGCCCTGCACTCACTTGGGGCTCAGTGTTCTGCGGTTGCAGTCTTTGTTGTTTTGTTTTTTGTTTAGAAACTGAATCTCACTCTCTTACCCAGGCTGGAGTGCAGTAGTGGGATCATAGCTCACTGCAGCTTCCAACTCCTGGGCTCCAGGGATCCTCCCGCCTCAGCCTCCTGAGTAGCTAGGACTATAGCCACATGCCACTATGCAAGGCTAATTGTTTTTATTATTATTATTATTATTTTTTAGAGATGGGGTCTCCCTCTGTTGCCCAGCCTGGTGATTTTTTTTTTTTTTTTGGATGGAGTCTCGCTCTGTGGCCCAGGCTGGAGTGCAATGGCGTGATCTCAGCTCACTGCAACCTCCACCTCCCAGGTTCAAGTGATTCTTCTGCCTCAGCCTCCCGTGTAGCTGGGACTACAGGTGCACGCCACCACGCCTGGCTAATTTTTTTATTTTTAGTAGAGACGGGGTTTCACCATATTGACCAAGCTGGTCCCTAACTCCTGACCTCGTGATCCGCCCGCCTCAGCCTCCCAAAGTGCTGGGATTACAGGCGTGAGCCACCGCACCCAGCCAAAATTCTTAATTTATCTTTGAATTTGTGTGGTATATGAGAGGTCTTGGACAGTGGCACATATGTGAGTGTTTGGACCCTAGCTCATGTGTGCTCCCACCTGCCACTGCCTCCCTACCTCCCCAAGACAGGTTCTTCTTCTTATTATTATTATTTTGAGACTGAGTCCCACTCTGTCACCCAGGCTAGAGTGCAGTGCTGTGATCTCAGCTCACTGCAACCTCCGCTTCCTGGCTTCAAGCAATTCTCCCTGCCTCAGCGTCCCGAGTAGGTGGGATTACAGACACCTGCCACCACGCCCAACTAATTTTTGTATTTTTAGTAGACACGGTTTCACCATGTTGGCCAGGCTGGACTTGAACTCCTGACCTCAGGTAATCCGCCTGCCTTGGCCTCTCAAAGTGCTGGGATTACAAGAGTGAGCCACTGTGCCCAGCCCAAGATAGGTTCTTGACTGCTCAATCCTCTCCTCCTTTTGGTGTCCTGGGCCACACCTGGACTCCCCATCTCCACCTCCACCCAGGAACCGCTAGTGTCCTCTGTGGTCACTGGGGGCCCAGGTGGTGGGGGGAAGACTGACGTCCGATGCCTTTGCCCCACAAGGTCTCAGGGTAGGTACGGCATAGGAATAGCTGGTGGCCTGCAGGGCCCCCAGACAAGGGTGAAAGTTGACATTCACCCTGTGCCCAAGAAAGTATGACATTCAATGGCAAATAAAAGACCATGCTAGAAAGAGAAAAGCTTTTGCATATTAGTGCCTTTGCTGGCACTTTCCTTTCCTGCTTGTTGAACAAGGGGCACTGCATTTCCATTGCTGGGGAGAGCAGCCCACTCAGTGTTAATGGAAAAACCAAACTCTGTAAACTATTTGAAAGAGGTTTATTCTGAGCTAGTATGAGTGACAACAGCCCAGGGAAAGACATAAACTGAAAAAGCCTTGAGTCAGTGGTCTCAGGGCAGTTAGATCGCAACTCTGTTTTACACATTTCAGGGAAGCAGAAGTTATGAAAAAGTCATAAATCAATACATGAAGATTAGACATTGATTTGGCCCAGAAAGGCAGAATATGTTAAAGTGGGGGCTTCCTGGTCATAGGTCACTCCAGAGTCTTCAATTTGCAATTGGTTAAAAGAGTAAAACTTTGTCTAAAAATTTTGAATCAGCAGAAAGGAATGTTTTCAGTTAAGGAAGTCTGTTAACCAAACCACTGGGTCAGAGTGACCCATGGGGTGTGTGACTTAATCCTTGCCTGACATGGACTTAGGTCCTATTTATCATTTGCTACCTTATTGTCACAAAGAGTCTGTTTTGTTAGTCTTATGATCTGTATTTTAACATTTATGCTGGTCAGTTCTGCCTAAACTCCAAAAGGGAGGGCATGTAACAAGGCATGAGTCCAACCTCCCTTCCCATTGTGGCCAGGAATTTCGTTTTTAACTTTTTTCTGGGATCCTCTTGGCCAACAGGGGGTCTGTTCAATGAGTAGAGGGTTAGGATTTTATATTTAGTTTACATCAGGGACCTGGGTGAAGCGAGTAAGCCCTCCAGGGAGGTGTGATCATGGGGGAACAGAGTCAGCCACCCCCATCCCAGATTCTCCTTGGACTGCCTGCTCTGAGCGGCTGTGTGTAGACAGCAAGGAAGAGGGGTCTTCGTCAGATGCGTGCACCAGAGACTCCAGAACAGCTCAGCCTGGCTCACTCAGTAAAGGGCATTCTCAAGGGTCATTGCTGACTCTTCCGGGGCAGCCAGTCTTCAAATGGACTTTCCCAAACCCCTTCCTATTGCAGAAAGCTTGTGTCATTTGCCTCCAAATGCTGTCCCCCTGACCTCTCCCTGGGGAGGGAGTGGGCTGCAGGTGCCACAGGATGCAGCATGAAGCCCTGCATTCTCCCACCGCTGCTGGAGCCAAGTTCTCCTTCATGTTTCTCTCTGCACAACACACACAGGAACACTCACAAATGCAGTCCTGGAAACAGGATTAGGTGGCCCCTACTTTCCTAGCTGGGATATGCAAAGCCACTTTCATACCAAACTTCCTTCCAGGGCATCTAAAGGTGACATGAGTGTGGGCATCTGTAAGCAGCTTTACTTGCCTTGGACAACCACAGGGAAACTGGGCAGTGAGTCCCACTCCAGATGCTGGCCGGAGAGACCCCAGTGAAGGCACCCTCAGGCCTGCCCTCCCTCCCTGAGCCCCTCTCCCCTCCCCGCTGCCCCTGATTTAAGGGTAGTCCTTTCTGCATTTCCTCCCGAGAGCACGATAATAACTCACTGCTTGACCAACTTCAGACAGACTCCTCCGGCACTTTTTTCAGCTAGGCCTCATCCTTGGACCCCGTGCTCAGCCTGCCTGAGCCAGTCTTAGCAAAGAATCCTGTTAAGTCCTCTTCTGCCTTTAGTATCCAATCATCCTGGCCTGCCTGCAGCAGGTGTCCTGTTAAGTTAGTTTAGCAAGATACCCCCCTACCGTCAAGGTCCCCTCTGTTTTCCATCTGCCAACCCCCCACCTCCACCCTGTTCCTGGGCTGTAAATCCCCACTTGTCCTTGTGTTGGGAATTGTGCTCGGCGCTTTCCTTTTGCAGTAGTGCTCAACAGAGTCTGTCTTTTTGCCTTGGATAGTGTTCAGTTCTATTTCTCATTAACAGTTATGAAGGGCTGTGACACCTTGCTTGGCTTCTAGTCTTGACATAGACTAAAAGGCAGAAGGTTTCCAGAGCTCACGCTGGATGGCTGGGCAGATGAGGTCTTCAGAGACTCTCCAGGGAGGTACGGCTCTGCCTTTCTACTCAGTATGCAAGCTCCCCAGACTTCTGAAGAGGGATGTTTCTCCTTAGAGAAAGTCTCCCTGAATGTGGGTATTTCATAAGTTCTTGGACCAGTTCTGCTCTTCTCAGTCCTGCTTTTTGTCAACATACATTGAATCACTTCTCCCTGGCAAAAGAGCAGCATGTGAAGAAAATGTGATCCTTGGTGGTTTGACATGAAATTGACTTTTTCTTCTAGCAACACTTATGAATATTCAAATACAATTATGGAAAAGATTTTTTGCACTGATCAGCATAACAAACAAATTAGACATCCCAGTGTGCAAATATAACTTTCTGAATTTCCTAGTTTTAAATATTCCAGTGGCCAGGATACCCTATCCAGAGGAAGCAGGACCGTCTCAGCTGACCAGGGCCCTTGCCTGCTAATAGCATCATGCATACCTTGTTTCTTCATGAGGCTGCTTGCCCGAGTTCCAATCCACCAGGAATTCATCTTGTATCATAGCTGATGGATCCCGTGTCTCGTTTCTAAGTTGGAGCATCACTTTGCAGCTCCCAACCAGGGCCAGCCACAAAATTTGAAAGGCCCAGTGCAAAATAAAAATGCAGAGCCCCTTGTTCAAAAAGCAGGAAAAGAATGGGCCAGCAAAGGAACTAAAATAAACGAAAGCTTTTCCCTTTCTTCCATGGTCTCTCTTTTGACCTATCATGGTGTTTTTATTTGCTACTGAATATCATGCTTTCTTGGGACAGGGTGAGTGTCAACTGTCACACTTGCCCAGGGGCCCTGCCGAGTGACTTGGTGGGTACACAGTCCACCAGCTGCTTGCATGGCCACGCCCACCCTGAGATGCCACGGGTAGTGTAGTAAAAGCATCTGATGTCAACCCCACACCCCTCCACACATACACACTCAGGTTCCCGCAGACCATGGAGGGCACCAGCGGTTGCTGGGTGAGGGTGGGGATGGGGAGGCCATGTGGGGCCCAGGACACCAAAGGGAGGGAGACGAGCAGTCAATAATGTGCCTGGGAGAGGTGGCGGACCAGCAGCAGATGGGAGCACACATGAGGCAGGCTCCAAGTGCTCACGTATGCTCCACTGTCCAATGAGGCCTCACTTACACCACACAAATTCAAAGATAAAATAAAGTTTTTTTTGTTTTGTTTTGTTTTGTTTTGTTTTGGAGACAAGAGTCTCACTCTGTCACCCAGGCTAGAGTGCAGTGGCGCAATCTTGGCTCACTGCAACTTCCACCTTCCAGGTTCAAGTGATTCTCCTGCCTCAGCCTCCCAAACAGCTGGGGCTACAGGTGTCCACCACCACACCTGGCTAATTTTTTGTATTTTTAGTAGAGATGGGGTTTCTCCATGCTGGCCAGGCTGGTCTCAAACTCCTGACCTCAAGTGATCCGCCCCCCTCGGCCTCCTAAAGTGCTGGGATTAGAGGCATGAGCCACCGTGCCCAGCCTGATAAAATAATTAAGAATGTCAAGACAGCAATCACAGAGCACTAAACCCCAAGTGCAGGGCCCTGTGCCTCTGAGGGGCTGCATGGCCACGAAGCCACCCTGCTCCAGCATTGGCAGCAGGAAATACAATCCATTCCTGGATGGAGGTTGGGTTAGTTCCTCAGGGCTGCTGTAACAAAGACAACCTGGGTGGCTCCAAACAACAGAAATGGGCTATCTCATAGTTCCAGAGGCCAGAAGTCTGACATCAGCGTGGTGCAGGGCCGTGCTCCCTCTGAAACCTTAGGAAGTCCTTGCTTGCCTCTTCCTGGCTTCTGGTGGCTGCAGCAATCTTTGGAGTTCCTTGGCTTGTGGCTGTGTCACTCCAATCCTAGGTCTTCACCGGTCTCCTTTTTATAAGAACACAGTCACATTGGGTCAGCGGCCCACCCTGCTCCAATGTGACCTAACTTTAACTATTACATCTGCAAGGATCCTGTTTCCAAATAAGGTCACATTTTGAGGTCCTGAGAGTTAGGACTTCAGAATGGCTCATCTTTGTGGGGGATGCACAACCCATAATAGAGGTGTGGAGGAAGGAGAGTTTCTTCAAGGGGCAGGACTGGGAAAGACTTTGTAAGGAGGCTGGTCCTTGAAAGAGGTGGCAGGAGCGGGGCCACAGCAGGTTGGGAGAGGGAAGAGTGAGCTTCTCAGTTGGGCCACCATGAGGGTGGCTGTCACTGGGTGCAGACAGCCGACCCCACTGTCAAGTTCTAGGGCTGGGCACACTGTTGCCCAGGAAGCAGGAGCTGGTCAAACCCCTATGGGGGTTTCCTAGGAGATAAACCCCACGGCCCAGGTAGGGCACGACAGAACAGACTGTATGGGGACAAGAGGTTCAATTGGCAGGACTCTTGGTAACACAAGGAAGGGTGGAAATGCAGAGGGAACAAGCCATGACTGTCTGCTCTGCAAACATAACTTGTCACATTAAAATCACCCACTCTCTGCCTGGGCGCGGTGGCTCATGCCTATAATCCCAGCACTTTGGGAGGCCAAGGCAGGTGGATCACAAGGTCAGGAGATTGAGACCATCCTGGCCAACATGGTGAAACCTCGTCTCTACTAAAAATACAAAAATTAGCTGGGCATGGTGGTGTGCACCTGCAATCCCAGCTACTTGGGAGGCTGAGGCAGAAGAATCGCTTGAACCCGGGAGGCAGAGGTTGCAGTGAGCCAAGATTGCACTACTGCATTCTAGCCTGGTGACAGAGCAAGACTCCATCGCAAAAAAAAAAAAAAAGAGGCACCTGAAAGATGCTTCGCTATGACATAGAACACATTTCTATAGCTTGTATTTTTGAAAACATGTTTACCAGATGCCCAGGGCTTTTGTTTTTGGTGTTCTGTTTTGTTCTGCTTTTCCAGCATTTTTCCAGCAGCATCCTACAGATATTTCCAACAGTCACCGTCACTTCATCACACTCCCCAAAACTAACCACGCCAGCTACTCCTAATGATGACAGCAGCAAGCCCCCTAGCCCGAAGGCCTTTTCATTTCAGAACAAAACCCTTGATATAGACACCATTCAGTTATCTGTTAAGCCTGACCAGAGAACTACCATCGCCAAGTCAGAAAATCACAAAAACCCTATAGTCCTAACCCACGGTTGAAAATTCAGTCCAGGTGCAGCGGCTCATGCCCAAATCTCAGCAATTTGTTAGATCAAGGCAGGAGGATCACTTAAGCCCAGGAGTTCGAGACCAGCCTGGGCAACATAGCAAGACCGCCCCATCTCTACAAAAACAAAAAAGAAGAAAATTCAGTCTTTAACGTAGCATGCATCTGTACGTAAGTGTGTGTGTGGTGGTGTGTATATGAGTGTTGTGTGTGTATGTACATGTGCATAAGGGTTATATGAGTGTATATATATGCATGTGTGTCCCAGCTTCCAAACCCCATGAATGGCCCCTCTAGGACTCGGGGCTAGGTCTTGCCCGCTCGTGGAAGCCTCCTTTGCTCCTCCCTC
Organism: Homo sapiens; assembly: GCF_000001405.40. NCBI lineage: Eukaryota > Metazoa > Chordata > Mammalia > Primates > Hominidae > Homo > Homo sapiens. The sequence goes on along the minus strand of NW_025791787.1, from coordinate 5,706 downwards.
ACTCTGCAGTCGCAGCCTGGCACAGTCATGGGCTCAGTCCATGAGAGGCTTCTCTCCCCCTGTAACAGGGAAGAGGTCACTCAGTGGGAATGGCCAGGGTGGTGGCTTGCAGAGTGCAGGGCAGGGCCCCACCCTTGGGTTATGCCTATTTCGTTTCTAGAGCCAAACCTGCTCTTGGACCTTTTTAAAAGAACCTATATACACCGCCCCCCGACCCCCCGCCATCCCCTGTCCCCTCTGAGAAAGACTTTCTGTTGCTTGGAGCCGAAACACCTGACTGCTGACCCAGAGGGGATGTTCATGCCCCAAGTCCTATCACATCCTCATAAAATGTATTATTTCTCCAATTTAAGTCATCTCCAAAGACCTCATTTCATGTGAGGGGAAATTTTTTTTTTTTGAGACGGACTCTCGCTCTGTCGCCCAGGCTGGAGTGCAGTGGCGCGATCTTGGCTCACCGCAAGCTCCGCCTCCTGGGTTCACGCCATTCTCCTCCCTCACCCTTCCGAGTATCTGGGACTACAGGCGCCCACCACCGCGCCCGGCTAATTTTTTGTATTTTTTTTAGTAGAGACGGGGTTTCACCGGGGTCTCAATCTCCTGACCTCGTGATCCACCTGCCTCAGCCTCCTAAAGTGCTGGGATTACAGGCGTGAGCCACTGTGCCCGGCCGAGGGGAAATTTGAAGAAAGAAGGAGCTGTACAAAAATTGTGTCAACAGGAAATAGCTGTTCATGTCAGGGTGAGGTGGGGGACTCCATTGACCCACACAGCTTTTGACTTGGAACTTTTTCCTTTGAATTTGTATCCCCTGAGTATAACCCAATAGTATTCAACTTTTGAGACCTGTCATTGTTTTATCATTTTATCAGAATGTTTGTCCATGTCCCCTCCCTCCCCCACTCCTGGCCAGTTACTTGCTTTTAAGAGATTTGGGCAGGGCGTGGTGGCTCATGCCTATAATCCCAGCACTTTGGGACGCTGAGGCGGGCGGATCACCTGAGGTCAGGAGATCGAGACTAGCCTGGCCAACATGGTGAAAACCCATCTCTAGTAAAAATACAAAAATTAGCTGGGCATGGTGGCAGGCACCTGTAATCTCAGCTACTCAGGAGGCTGAGGCAGGAGAATCACTGGAACCCGAGAGGCGGAGGTTGCAGTGAGCCGAGATCGTGCCATTGCACTCCAGCCTGGGCGACAGAGCAAGACTCCTTCTCAAAAAAAAATAAGAAAAAAAAGAGAAAGAGAGAGAGGTTTGATGAATTCTTAAAGGCCAGCCCCTGGGGTGGAGGGTACCATGGCTAAGATGCCTCCATGCCACACGAAAGGTCATTAGGGATACAGGACTCCCTGGGCTCCTTCCTGGGCCATTTTTATCATGTGCAAATGCCCAGGGTCTTAGAGGCTCACCTGAGAACACGTGACTTCACCTTAGACCAAACCTGGAGGCCTCAAGCCACCTGCATTTGGATGATGAGAAACCACCACGTTATCAGACTCATTCATCTTTGTATCAACTTCAGCAAAAAGCAATTAAACCAGGAAGCAGGGCATAATTCATAGTTATAGGAAATCATTTCAACTCTTCGGTACCCAAGTCAAAGACAAAAGGCAAGAGCTTTTTTGTGTAAAATCTCTGTAGCATAGAAAGTCTGCTAGACCTCCCTAGAAAGGACACATTCCAGCAGCCTACGCATAGACATTTTCTCAGGCCTCCCCATTTTTTCCTGATCTCATCCATGTGTTTCTTCCAGCTTTGATTGTAAAATAAAAATGAGATTCAGAAAACCACATAAAACAAACATACAGCTGAATGAGTTACCTTAAGAGGAATATCCCTGCACTCCTCACCCAGGTCATAAAGAAGCTTTTCCCCCATCCAGAGGCTTTCCCAAGCTCCCTCCCTCCCCAGGAAGGTGGCCACATCCTGATGTCCCTGGAAATCGCCCCCTCACATTTCTTCCTGGTGTGTCACCCTGGCCGCATCCCTAGACACTGTTTCTATCCATTTGTCCAAGTCCATCTCTTTCTTTGCCTTACAGTTTACCTGTTGAAGGTTCCCCTGTCGCTGGCCCTACTGCCCCACTCTCTGGTTGTGTTACCTGAGATCGCTCCAAATATTAATAATTTATACTCGGCCAGGTGCGGTGGCTCACACCTGTAATCCCAGCACTTTGGGAGGCTGAGGCGGGTGGATCACCTGAGGTCAGCAGTTCGAGACTAGCCTGGTCAACATGGTGAAACTCCGTCTCTACTAAAAATACAAAAATTAGCCAGGCGTGGTGGCAGGCGCCTATAGTCCCAGCCCCACTCAGGAGGCTGAGGCAGGAGAATCGCTTGAACCCAGGAGGCGGAGGTTGCAGTGAGCCGAGATCGCGCCACTGCACTACAGCCTGGGCAACAAGAGCAAAACTCTATCTTAATAATAACAATAATAATAATAATAATAATAGTTCATACTCAAATGCTCATCTCAGGTACTGTGTGACAGGGCAGGTGTCGCTTCTAACCAGCCCAATCCAAGAGAGCCTCTCCAACCACAGCCCCAGGTTAGGTGCCACCCACCCAATGTGGCCTAGGCCAGCGTCTAGATTGGGCCCTCAAGGACAGGACCAATGTCCTCTGTCTTCCTCCCCACTGGCCACACAGAAGGGAGGGTGCAGTCAACTGTGGAGCAGACAGGATTTGGGGTTCCGCAGAGCCACACAGCTGCGTGACCCTGTCCCTTTCCAGAGGGAGGATCTCATGGGCTGGCCAGGATAAAGGGGAGTTAGAGGCTCTTGGAGAGAGTGGGATGGTCCCAGAACCTCCTCACAAAAATGGACATTTGTAAAGCAGTGAAAGTTAAATAAATAAATAAGATGGGTCGTCATCTGGCTCTGCCTTTATTTTAACTTGCTTTGAGGATGAAAGAGTCAAACCCTGGGGAGTGACCAGTTGTCTGAGAAAAAGAAGAAAATGAGAGGCCCCTCGGGTCATCTCTCCAATGTATGACCTGGTCTGGGCTCCCCTGAATCTGCCCTGCTCCTTCCCGGCACTCAGGTTAGGAGAGGCTCCTTCTCTCCTTCTTCCTTTGGGGGTGACTTTCTGGAAGACACTCAACTGGCCTTCCTTAACTGATATGAGGCTTCCTGTATGTTGTCCGTGCCAGTAAACTATTTGACACTGATTTTTTTTTTTTTGAGATAGAGTCTCTGTCACAAGACTGGAGTGCAGTGGCGCAATTTCAGCTCACTGCAACCTCTGACTCCCTGGTTCAAGCGATTCTCCTGCCTCAGCCTCCCGAGTAGCTAGAATTACAGGCACGTGCCACCACGCTCGGCTAAATTTTTTGTATTCTTAGTAGAGACGGGCTTTCACGACGTTGGCCAGGATGGTCTCCATCTCCTGACCTCGTGATTCACCTGCTTTGGCCTCCCAAAGTGCTGGGATTACAGGTGTGAGCCACCGCACCTGGCTATTTGACACTTTCATCCCCAAATTATAGCTGTTGTAAAATAGTCCCATTTTTTAAAGAGAGAAACCCACATTCATATGCCTTTGGGTTTGGGTTTGAAGGATGCTCTAAGCCCTGCAGTTGCTGCAAGTGCACTGGCTCAGTGGGTGGAATCGGAAAGCTACTTCCTCTCTGTGAAGCGCTGAGCTCAGCTCAGAGCCACGGCCTCTGTGGGGGCACTTCTCCAGCTAAGCCACATTTACAAACTTCAGCTTTCAAAGCAGTCTCCAAGCCCAAGCAACAGGGCTTCTGGAGAGCAGCTCAGCGATGAAATCACCCCCTAATTAGCAACCTGAGAGAGGATTACATAAAAGACCCAAGATAATGTAATGCTCTTTTTGAAGGTAAAAGAGAAAACTCTAAACTGTATTACCTTTTTACCTTCTCTTCATATCAGAAATCATTGTGGGAAGCTCATTCCTCTTTCTGCGCGTCCCCATTCTCCTTTCCAATCAGCCCTCCTCCCCCAACACAGGCACTTACAAATTCTGGAAATATCACTGCTTTGAGAAAACAAATAGGTTGTCAGGACAAGCGTCTCTAAAGGGAAAATGGTTTTCCCTGGCAGGATGAAAAACATTAAATCACAAGAATTTCTGTCTATGTGCTACCACCTGAAATGGAAAAGTTTTGTTCATTCCACCAGACAAACAGCTGATGTTTAAGTCCTGACCCCGGGTGCAGTGAGGTCCTAAAGCGTATAGCATAACCATCAGCATGGCCCACTGTTGGGGGTATGGGGAGGAGTGGAGACCAGGACCCCATGGGCACTAGGGCCTGGGGATCCCGCAACCAGGTTGTAAGCACCAAGGTGTTTCTTCCTGCCCATTGTATAAAGAAAGACCATAGCATTGCAGTAAAGAAAGAGTTTAATAGAGACAAGGCCGTTCATGACCATGGGAGATGGAATTTATACTCAAATCATCTTGTCCAAAGCTCGTGGGTTAGGGTTTTTTTGTTTTTTTGTTTTTGTTTGTTTGTTTGAGACAGTCTCGCTCTTTCGCCCAGGCTGAAGTGCAGTGGTGCAATCTCGGCTCACTGCAACCTCCGCGCCTCAGGTTCAAGCAATTCTCCTGCCTCAGCCTCCTGAGCAGCTGGGATTATATGCGCCCCCCACCACACCTGGCTAATTTTTTTGTATTTTTAGTAGAGACAGGGTTTCGCTATGTTGGCCAGGCTGATCACCCGCCTAGATCTCCCAAAGTGCTAGGAAGGATTACAGGCGTGAGCCACCATCCCCAACCAAGGGTTAGGGGTTTTTCTTTCCTTTTTTGTTTTTTTTTTTTTTTTTTTTTTTGAGAGGGAGTTTTTTGCTCTTGTTTCCCAGGCTGGAGTGCAATGGCGCTGTCTCGGCTCACTGCAACCTCTGCTTCCCGGGTCCAAGTGATTCTCCTGCCTCAGCCTCCCGCATAGCTGGGATTACAGGTGCCCGCCACCACACCCAGCTAATTTTTTGTATTTTTAGTAGAGATGGGGCTTCATCATGTTGGCCAGGCTGGTCTGAAACTCCTGACCTCAGGTGATCCACCCACTTCGGCCTCCCAAAGTGCTGTGATTACAGGCATGAGCCAACATGCCCGGCCAGGAGTTTTTCAAAGGCAGTTTGGGGGAAGGGCTGTGGGTGGCTGCTGATTGGCTGAGGTGGAGATGAAATCATAGCAGGTGGAAGCTGCCCTCCTGCGAGCTCAATAGCTTCTGGTGGGCCACAGGAGTGGGGTTGGTAGGTCCAGGTGGAACCATAGATGTCAGACATGAAGATAAAACTGAAAAGATATCTTAGGTTCTACAACAGTGATATTATTTGCAGGAGTAATTGGGGAAGTTGCATATCTTAAAACCTCAAGAATAATGGCTGACAATCGTTTATGTCTGCGCCTTAGCAGGACGCAGGCTCCTCTCCACCTCCCAGCCTGATGGCCTCCCATTAGCTTTACAAAAGCGGTTGAATTTGGGGGGAGACCTATTAACACTATATCCTAAAAGTCTCTCAAAGTTAGCTCAGCCCAATAACCCAGGAATAATTAAGGGGAAGGCAAGACGCAGGGTGGGTTAGCTCAGATCTCTTTCACTGTCATACTTTTCTCACTGATACAATTTTTGCAAAAGCAGTTTCAAGATCATAGCAAGGGGCAGAAACCAGCTCCGCCCCACATCTGAGCCCCCAAAGGAATTCAGGTCGGGAGTCAGCATCCACGGCCAGGGTCACTGGA